>NC_000013.11:75529318-75680833 GCF_000001405.40 Homo sapiens
GACCATCCTGGCTAACATGGTGAAACCCCATCTCTACTAAAAATACAAATAAATTAGCCAGGCATGGTGGTGGGCGCCTGTAGTCCCAGCTACTCGGGAGGCTGAGGCAGGAGAATGGCGTGAACCCAGGAGGCAGAGCTTGCAGTGAGCCAAGATCGTGCCACTGCACTCCAGCCTGGGCAACAGAGCGAGACTCCGTCTCAAAAAAAAAAAAAAAAAAAAAAAAAAAGAAAACCTGATTTATTCCCACCTCCCCCCCACCTTTTATTCCTCCTTGGTTACAGAAAAGAGGTAGAATGATAATATGGTAACATCACTCTAAACTACTGAGTTACTTAAGTCCCTAGCTGATAAAGCCAGCCAAGAGGTACACTTGCTCTGACCTGTCTTTTGTAAACATTATCAGTCAGAAAATTCAGGGTCAACACTATTCAAAGATTCATTTAGCTTAACATTCTTGAATATTAAGCCCAAAGGAATAAGAATAAAACATTTAAATGCAAAGTAAATATCCTGCCATTGAAGATAAAACTTTCCTAAATATACTCAGAGAGGAGTACTGTTCAAGCGATCAAATGGCGCAGTACACAACTTCAGCACATTATATTGAAAATAATTTATCAAATTCCCAAAGAAGACAAATTAATGTCTCTTGCATATACTACTAGTAAACGTAAAGCATATCAATCTACAAATAAAAACCATTAAAGTTTTCCCGTAGAAAGATTTTATACATCTTTTTATGCAATGATTACAGAAAAGCTGAGCTAAAACTGGATGAGTTAAATCACAAACCTGAAACTGTGGAATCGTCATTTCAAAGCACTTGGTCTTTACTTGGCCTGAATGATCTGCCACTTTTAGCATCACTGCAACGTAAGGATACTTAAGAGATCTGCAAGTGTCTGAGCTCACAGCCATACCCAGTTTCCACTGAAAATCTACAAGCTTTAATAAGACAGGACAAAATAATACATTAGTAGTAACATTACCTGGAATGCAGATATTTATTCAATTTTACTGCAGTTACACTCAACTTTTAGTTTCAACGCTGGTCATATTTACATAAAGTATCTTCATTTTAATACTGCTAGAGGAACAATAATCAAATGAAAAAATGGAGAGGTTATAAGGGATATAAACAGTTAAAAAACACCATCATAGTTTAAAATGGAAAAAACAAAAAGTGAAAAAAAAAAATCTCCCCTCCAATGTATAACGGAAGTGGAAGGAAGATGTGGCAGTATTGGTTTCCTTTAACAGGCTTGGAGTATCTTTTAGTTCACTTTGCTGTTCCATGCTCAAGACTTACATTAGCATGTATAGTGATAAGGTGGTTTTGGATTTCATCATTGTTCATGACAGATACATACCCTGGGTGATGTGCTATGCAGTTTACATGTATTACATACCTCACTGAATCAACATAACACTATAGGTTATTGTTTCCACTTTGCAGATGACAAAAGCCAACTTCAGAGAGCTTAGGTAATGTGCATAAAGTCACACATTTCTGGAATCAGAACTGAAGCCAAAGTCTGTTTGACTCCAAAGATTACATGCTTAGTGACTACTGGTTGTCTTAATACTTTTAATCTAATTCCTGTCAATGATTGTTAAATGATGCCATGGCATAAAACATGCAGCTGTTAATACTGCCTCATATTAAGGCACATAACTCTAAAACATAAAACACAGGGGTAAATACTGTCTGTCTTGTTTCCAAAGCATAGCCTGGTACATAGCAGCCACTCAAAAAGTACTTGCTCACTGACTGATACCTTTTTCTACAAAACTAATGCTCACTGGGCAAAAAACTTCACTTGTTAATACATTTCTTCTTGGAAAAGTTAGGATTTTTGTAAATCCCACCACGTATCCTACCACATATCCATCATGAACAATGATGAAATCCAAACCACCTTATCACTATTTACACTAATGAAATATTTGAGCTTGAGGACTATGGTGAGGTAAAGAAATAGAATGGTTCCCAAGTGTGCCTCAATCAACCATAAAAGTTATATAACCCATTTTCTATTTTAGGACTTTTGGGGTATGGAATAGGGGAAGGCATTTGTAAATCTCCCATTTTTATAAAAGGGGGACCAAAAATTCCTCCTATCTCAGACTTTCTTTGCACCAATCTCCTACAGCATTAAGTCCAAGCTAGTGCTGACAAAAGGTTAACATCTTTTATAAGAAGATTGAATAAATTCATTTTAAAGAAAAGTTCTCCATATAAAAATAGAAAGGCAAATCACAAAATAACTACAAATTTCTAATAAACATATGAAAATGTGCTCACCTTAAGAAACAAGGAATTAAAAGCCACAATTAGATACCACTACACAGCTACCAAAATGGCAAAAATTTAAGTCTGAAAATTCCAAGTATTGGCAAGGAAGGATGTGAGGCAATGGGAAGTGTCACATGCTGTTGGTGAAAGTGTAAACTGGGCCAATCTATCAAAGAGCTGACTTTAGCTAGTAAAACTGAAGCTCTGCATACTGTGATCCAAATTCTACTAGGGATAGAACTTAGAAAAACTTTTTGAATATGTACACAGGATACATATATGAAAATGTCCCCAGCAGCTTTATTCATAATAGCCCTAAACTGAAAACCCAAATGTTCAACAGAAATAAAATGGATAAATGAAATGCTATACAGCAATGAAAATGAACTTCAATTACACGTAAAACCAAAAATATTTAAAACAAGTCCAAAAGTTATGATTCAGTTCACTTAAACTTGAGAAACAGGTGGTAAAACTATAAAGAGAATATGCCTATCCTTTTGGGGTGGAGAGAAGTGGGCATTGATTGAAGAGGAGCATCTGGTGGGCTTCTGGGGGACTGGTAACACTCCATTTATTGACTTTTGCTTGTGGTTACACGAGTGTTCGCTTTTAGATAATTCATTAACTGTCCATATTTTGTGCACTTTTTGCATATATAGTCCAGAGAGAGCAATGTAAGTCAGTGACTACATTTCTGGTTGAAAGGAAGAGTTTATTGTAGCCTAGGGAGTTAAGGGAAAGCTTTACAGAAGGCTTTAAGCTCCATTTTGAAGAATAAACAGAACAGGAATTGAGGAAAATGTGTTTTATTTATACATACCATAAATGCACACCTAGCAAAGAATAAATGCTTAATAAATATTGGGCGGAACCAATTACAGATGAAAAGAGTCGAAATTTGGTTTAGGGATAGAACATTTTATCTGTCTTGCTGGGTGCGGTGGCTCACGCCTGTAATCCCAGCACTTTGGGAGGCCGAGGTGGGCGGATCACGAGGTCAGGAGATCAGAATCATCCTGGCTAACACAGTGAAACCCCATCTCTACCAAAAATACAAAAAATTAGCCGGGTGTGGTGGCACACGCCTGTAGTCTTAATTTATCTGTCTTAAAGTAGATGGCTTTTGTAAGCAAATATGAAAAATAAAGTTGACAAGTGATCAAAAAGCCAGTAATTCCTTGCAAATTGAGCTTTCAGAGGTTTTCACAGTACTTTTATATCCTTTATCTTACTATGGAGAACTTACCACATTAACTCACTTAAACTTTCCCTGTAGGCATTGGGGACTCAACTCACTGAAAGTTTTTGTTTTGTTTTTTTTTTTTTTTGAGATGGAGTCTCGCTCTGTTGCTCAGGCTGGAGTGCAGTGGCACGATCTTGGCTTACTGCAAGCTCTGCCTCCCGGGTTCACGCCATTCTCCTGCCTCAGCCACCCGAGTAGCTGGGACTACAGGCGCCCGCCACCATGACGGGCTAATTTTTTTGTATTTTTAGTAGAGACAGGGTTTCACCATGTTAGCCAGGGTGGTCTCAATCTCCTGACCTCGTGATCCGCCCTGCCTCAGCCTCCCAAAGTGCTGGGATTACAGGCGGGAGCCATCGCACCCGGCCGAAAGTTTTTCAATAGAGAGAATGATATCAAAATATTGATTAATGGATATTCAGGCTGGGCACGGTGGCTCACACCTGTAATCCCAGCACTTTGGGAGGCCAAGGCAGGTGGATCACTTGAGTGCAGGGGTTCCAGACCAGCCTGGGCAACAGCCCTGTCTCTACAAAAAATACAAAAGTACAAAAAGTAGCCAGGTGTGGTAGGGCATGCCTTTAAGTCCCAGCTACTTGGGAGGATGAAGTGGGAGGATCACCTAAGCCCAGGAGGTCAAGGATGCAGTGAGCTGTGAGCATGCCACTGCACTCCAGCCTGGGCAACAGAGCGAGACCCCAAATCTGAAAAAAAAAAAAAAAAAAGAGAGAGAGAGAGATATTCTTCTGGTGGCAGCAGAACACAATAATCCAAGTCTGAAGTTATGTAAGTGCCTGAACTAAGTTGGTGACAAGCAGGACTAAACTGATCATATGAAGGATGCATTGCTAGGTCTTGATGATTGCCTACAAGATACAACTATAGTTGTTTATAGAAAATTATAAAAAATTGAGCTTGGATAACTGGGAGAATGCTGAGGTATCCAGTCCAAAAGTATCATTAAGAGATGATACTAGGGTTATCTCTATAGGAATGTTCAGAAAGTGGCTAAAAATCCAAGAACAGAATTCAGGAGAGTTCATGAGTAGAGAGAGTTTTAATTCCAGTTCAATAGTGATGTCCAAAAACTAAACCAAGAATTCATTTTCCTTCTTTTTTTTTTCCAGACAGGATCTCAGTCTGTTGCTCAGGCTGGAGTGCAGTGGCATGAATGTGACTCACTGCAGCCTAGACCTCCTGGGCTCAAGCGATTCTTCTACCTGGGCTTCCCTCCCCTAAATGTTTGAGTATGAAATAAGTAAGCAATTTCTTATTCTTAACAGTATTTAGCCTGTACAACTCCTTGATGGAAGAAGTTCCACTTTTACCATCAACATTAAAGTGGCAGAGTAAAGGGTTGCCTATTTGTTTCTCAGAATCTGAAATAAAACTAGAAGATTTCAAGCAGAAAAGCAATGAAGGCGTGCAATGCTAAGTTCCACTCACTATTAAAACAGTGAAATTGTCAGGTGAGGAAACGGAGAGCTGCCATCAAGACACTGTGCAAAGTCAGTCTTCACAATTGAAAGAAAGCTAAGACTAGGTTTATGAGATGAGAGTTTCCAAAATTCTAACCTCAACAGTTAAATGCAAACTGAAAGCAAACCTTCTAATAAGTGTGGTTTCACCTTAAGTAGGAGTGAACTGCACAGATTTTAAAAATAAAAGAATATAAAAGAAAAAATCAGAACAGAGAGCACTTACCACTATGCAGAATGTTAAGAATGAAACAATGTGCGGTAGCCCCAAAATCATTGTATGATGAAGTATTAAAAAAGGAAAACATACAAAGAAACAAAAAGCTAGTAGTAAAAAAGGAAATATAAAAACATCCAGAAGTAAAATGAATATAAAGAATAATCAGAAAGTAAATATATAAAAAGGTAAACACACAAATTAGCTGTAGTCACACTAAAAATTGATGTGGAGGCTGAAGTTACTAGTAATATAAAAACATGACTATAAAAACTGTCTATATAGATAAAACTGGTAATTCCTATGTGTTTTGAGTAAGAGAGGGAGGCCTCACTATTCAGTATATACTAAGCAATACTATATTCTAGGAATTAGGGATGTAAAAAATAGTTCCTGACCTTCAGAATTCTAGTGGGGAAGGCAGACAATAAACAAAAATATAATGTAATGGTAGTATTATAGCGTGACGAAATGCAGGGTAAGGTGACAGAGTGACAAGAAAGGCTATTTAGATATAACCTGGGACGACCTCTTTCATGCGGCTTTTGAACAGAAAGAGACTCGAATAAAATGAAGAAAAAGCCACAGGACCTGGAGAAAAGAGCATTCTGGACTGAGGGAGAAGCATGCTTGGCGTGTTCAGGGAACAATGAGGCCCAGGTGGCTGGAGGGGCATGAGCTAGGAAGAGTGGTAAGAGATGAGGAATCCATCTTCGAAGGGCCCTGTAGGCCACAGTAAATACCTACGACTTTTTTCCAGTGTGACAAGAATCTCTTAAAAAGCTCTGAGTAGCGGAGATACCTGGTCTAACTTACATTGCAAAAGGCTCATCCAGACCGCCAGGTGAGGCACAAAGTTTAAGGAAGTTGGAAGACCCTGTTACAAGGCTACTGCGGTATTCCAGGAAAGAGAATGGCGGCTTGGACCCAGGTGGCAGCAAGAGGAGGTGAATTTAGAGTGAGAGAAAACAATATGCTGATCTGATTGTATGTCAGGTGTGAGGGAGAGTTGGGAGCCTCCAGTAATTTGTCGATTTCAGTTTAGGCACTGGTTTCTGTGGAGCTTCTGCTCTAAGCTGTGGTTCTCTGTATTCGCAGTCTGTCTCACCAATTTGGGGGACAGCAATTTGCCCTGTGACCTCGCTTCTCTGACAGATCCAAGAGGAGTTGTTGATTTTTCAGTTTGTTCAGTTTTTCCTTGTTGCTAGGACAGGTGGTGACTTCCAAGCTCCTCATGCGCTGGATCACAAAGTAAAAGTCTACCGCTTTTTGTAATTTTCTTCATAAAACTTTTAAATATCTTTTATTAGATTTCTTGCAAGATACTCCGTAATTTTTTTTTTTTAAGAGATGGAGTCTCACTCTGTCACTCAGGCTGGACTGCTGTGGTGTAATCACAGCTCACTGCTGCCTCAAACTCCTGGGCTCAAGAGATCTTCTCTTCTCAGCCTCCTGAGTAGCTAGTACTACAGGTCTGTGCCTCCACACCTGATTAATTTTTTTATTTTTATAGAGATAAGGTCTTGCTATGTTGCCCATGCTGGTCTCAAACTGCTGGCCTTAAGCAATCCTCCCAAAGCCCTGAGCTTACAGTCATGAGCCACCATGGCTGGCCTGTAATTTCTTCATGTTATAAATGACATCTTTAAAATTATATTTTCCAACTCTTTATGTCTGAACTAAAGAACGTTCAACAATGGAATCACCTTGCTGACTCTCACATTAATTCTAATAATGTTTGTAAATGATCTTGGCTTTTCCTATGCAAACAATCATATAATCTGTGAATGACTGCATAGAAGGATGTGCAGTAGGCTGAATAATGGCCCTCCCAAATATGTCCACATGCTAATCCTCAAAATCTATGAATATGTTACCTTAGGCAACAAAACAGTATTGGTAGATGTGACAAAATTAAGGACTTGGAGATGTGGAGATTTTCCTGGATTATCCAGGTGGGCCTAATGTAATTGAAAGGGTCCTTATAAGAGGGAGGAAAAAGGGTCAGAGTCAGAGAAGGCAATGTGACAACGGAAGCAGAGGCTGGAATGATGTGCTTTGAAGATGGAAGCAGAGGCCACAAGCTAAGGAGGAAACATTCTCCCCTACCGCCTCAGAAGGAACAAAGCCCTGCAGACACCTTGCTTTTAGCACCGTAAGACTAGTTTAGGACTTCTGACCTCCAGAACTATAAGATAATAAATTTGTGTTTAAGCCAAAAAGAGTTCAACTTTAAAAACCCCATAATTAGTATAATTCTGTTTCAGAATATCTTAAATACAAAACTTAACGTAAGAGAATGGATAAAATGACTTATGAAAGATTGACTCGAAATGCACTAAATCATATAACTAAGCAAAGCCAGGTAGACGGTTGACAGCTCTCTGACTTCCCCTACTTCCCAGGAATCCTCGAAAGCAAGATCAGTTAGAGAAAAATGACAGACAGCAGTCAATGGACACCTCTTTCAGCCCCTGTATTCTAATTATTTCTTACCTCATCCCTTTCTTACATTTTGTATGGACTTGGGTAACTCCTGGCCTAAAAATACTCTAGTTTTAGTACTCCTATTCTGGGAAGTGTGTTATAAATTATTTGCCTACAAATAGTTTATTGGCTACAACAGCACAGCAGCACTTGAAACAGAAATGGGGCTAAGATATACTTTAAAAGTCAAATTCATATTCCTAGCATTATAAATGCATACTCTAAAAGGCTAAAATGCTATACTCCATCTTCAAAAATAACTTAGAGACTAAGAAAATGTTTGCGGTGCTATCTCTGCAAATTTTCCTAACTTCTTTATCCAACACTTTAAAATACCGTGTTCCTGGCTTCGAATAACTGTCGCCTAATCAAAGCCCAACAATCCTTGATCTGCATTCTTCGGGCTAGTGCAGGGTGGGGAAGAGGAGCTTTCATTACAATGGCAACGGCTACCGGCTCAGGTGCAAAAGAGAAGGAGCAATGCAAGAGGGACGGCTGAAGGTCACCGGCTCGCGGACACAGGACTAGGGGAGACCTGGGGAAGGCTCAGGGTGGCACGGCCTCGCGGCCGTGGGAGGCAGGCTGGCGGAGGACAGGGCGGGGCGGCCGCTCACCCACCTGGTTGGTGACCTGAAACGGAAGCAGAAACACAATTTAGAGAAACATCTTTCTTGCTCCAGAGCCTCGCTGCCCACTCTCCTTCCAGGTTGGAACTCACATCGGACTTAGCATCCAGCGGCGGCTCGCTGGACGCCTCCATGGGCAGCGTCTGGGACTTGCGGCCCGGACTCGAGAGAACGCCCCCAGACCAGCGCTTCCGCTTCCACGTCCTGCCCCTAGCGGCCTGGCGCATGGGGCGGACGTAGCAGGGGAAGCTGAAAAAAGCATCTTTATGTGACTCATATTTTTTCTTAATTCAACATATATCTTAGGAGACATTGAGCTAAAAGAAAATTATTTTATGGAAAAAGGCCAAAGATTTGGGAGATACTTTGAGAAGAGAAGCGCTAATTAAATTTAGGATGCCGCTTCCCCCATCTAACAGTGACACGTGGGCTCTTCCAGACTGGAGCGGGGCGGGGCACAGCATCCCGCTGCGCGGCTCCTCAATCCCAACCAAATTCGGAAGGCGCTGGGCGACCGCACCCCCGGCACATGGGAGTTTGTCCTGCAAGGGAAGGCTGTGGGAACCACAGTTATAGGATGAGCTGCTTCGCTGGCCTAGCTGTGGGCGGGGCATGCTTTCCATTATCCCTGCTGTTCCTCTTGAATCCCAGCCCTCAGTCTGGCTGCGGAATACCTTCCCATCTTGTCTTCCCACCTCTTTCCTATTGACCTCAAATCCATCCTACAGGAAGTATCCACAGTGATGTTTTTTCCCCGCCAACTTTGTATTTTGAAAAATTTATTTTTTTCAGAAAAATTGCAAAAAATAATTCAATGAACACCTGTATACCCTTCATCTAGATTCACCAACTGTTCGCATTGTACATATTTGCTTTATCTCGGCTTGTATTAAGGATGATACTTCACTCCTAAATGCTTGAGCATGTTGTCTCCTAAGAACTAGGGCATTCTTCTAAATAACCACAATTCAACTATCACATTCAGGAAATTTAATATTGATAAAATACTATTCTCTAATAAATAAGTCAAATTAAAATTTCCCCACTTGTTTAAACAATATTCTTTAAAGTTATTCCCTACCCCATCCACAACTAGAATCTAATCAAGGGCCGCCTTGAATTTGGTGATCATGTCTCTTTAGTCTCCTCTAATCTAGAACTGCACCGGTAAACGGTCAGCAGGACTGTGTTCCTCAATGAAGGTTCCGGGGTGGTGGGGTTTGGGTGGGGGACAGGGGTGGGATCTGCTTTCAGCCTCAATTCAGGTTGTTGGCAGAGCTCAGTTCTGTGCAGTTTCCTTGCTGGCTTTTAGATGGGGACTCCCAGCTCCTAGAGGCCATCTGCATTCCTTGGCTTGTGGCTCCTTCCTCCACCTTCAAAGCCAGGAAGGGCAGGTCAAGTCCTCCTCACACTTTAAATCTCTCTGATCTCCCTTTCTGTATGATCTCTCCTGTTCCTGTTCCTTCTTTTGCCACATCTCTCTGACTCTAGCCTGAAAAAATTCTCTGTTTCTAGGGGCCTAAAAAATTATTAGATCAAATATAACCAAACAATTAACTTTTTTTTTTTTTGAGACAGAGTCTCAAAAAAAGACACTCACTCTGTCACCCAGACTGGAGTGCAGTGGTGCAATCTAAGCTCATTGCAACCTCTGCCTCCCAGGTTCAAACAATTCTCCTGCCTCAGCCTTTTTGAGTAGCTGAGATTGCAGACATGCATCACCATGCCTGGCTAATTTTCATATTTTTAGTAGAGATGGGGTCTCTCCATATTGGGCAGGTTGATCTGGAACTCCTGTCCTCACGTAATCCACCCACCTCGGGCCTTGGCCTCCCAAAGTGCTGGGATTACAGACGTGAGCCACTGTGCCTGGCCTCTTTCTATCTTAAGGTACATAAATTTTAATTATATTTATAAAGTCCCTTCAGATCAGTACCTAAATTAGTGTTTCAATGAGTAATCAGGATGGAAATCTTTGGAGGAGGGCATTTTTAGAATAATGCTTACCTTAAATACCCTCATAGGGTTGTTGGAGAATTACATTAGTTAATGCATGTTAAGCACCTAAAAATGTCCCTGGCATGTAGCACTCGGAAACTAGGCCAAAAAACCAAAAAACAAACAAAAAAACCCCCCACTGACTCAAGGTTATTGGACGTGATTAAATGTACTAATTAGCTTGGGAGGATAGTCCCTGAATGAATCAGACGATTTCTTCTCTAAGGAAGTCAGATGAAAACACAGAACACTGCTGTGCATCCAGCTGGTCAGTGTGTCGGTTCTTTTTGCAAGGAAATCTTTTTTTTTTTTTTTTTTTGAGACAGAGTCTCACTCTGTTGCCCAGGCTGGAGTGCAGTGGCGTGATCTCACCTCACTGCAACCTCCAACTCCCGGGTTCAAGCGCTTCTACTGACTCAGCCTCCCAAGTAGCTGGGATTACAGGCGCATGCCACCATGCCCAGCTATTTTTTTGTATTTTAGTAGAGATGGGGTTTCAACGTGTTGCCCAGGCTGGTCTCGAACTCCTGAGCTCAGGCAATCTGCCCGCCTCAGCCTCCCAAAGTGCTGGGATTACAGGTGTGAGTCACCATGCCCAGCCCCAGGAAATCTTTTTCTTCAGTTCTTGTTGTCATCATGGTGAGGGGGTGGTAAATACACACACACACACACACCCACACACACACACACACACACACACACAGACACACACCCCTTAACTTTGTAAAAATGCTTCAAAAAGGTGAAAAGATGTGTATTTTAAAAGGTATTTTTTGTTATTTCTTTGTATTTTTCATGCATTTCTTTAAAAACTGTTTATTATTGTTCTAATTCAACATGAGTGCACTTCAAAAACCTATCGATCTGATTTGGGGAGAGTAAAATGTCATTAGAGTTTAGGGCAATCTCTGCCAATTGTTACTCCAGCAACACGTGATAAACTGTTTATGTTTCAGACCTCCATCTTACAAGAGATCACTTACACAAACTTCGCAGTTGGAAAATACAGATGTTATCAATAGAGTCAAAAAATGCTAATATTAAAAATGCATGAGTATAATTTTGTTTTATTTTTACATAATGACATATAAGTAGAACATATGTCAGAAAATATTTTTGGAGCTCTTACAGTAAGCCTAGTACTATCACATGCATAGGAAGAAATCCATAGAACTATGGCATAAACTCTGATCTCATGAGCATTATGGTGTAATGTAAAAAACGAAATTGGTACTCATGAAGCAGGCAATGCTTCAATTTAAGTATTTATTTTAAGACTTTTTTGTGCCAAGAGATATGCAGTTGTCCCTCAGTGTACTTAGGAGATTGGTTCCAGGACCAATTAAGGGAGATGACAATGTACCAAAATCTGCATATACTCAAGTCCTACATACAGTCTGTCCTGCTGAACTTGAGTATAGGAAAATTCTGCCTCCCTATTTGTCGGTTTAGCATCCTGGGAGTATAGCAGCTTTGATCTGTGGTTGGTTTTAAAAAAAATCTCACCAGCACAGTTCAAACCCATGTTGTTCAAGGGTCAACTGAAATTCTAACTTGAGCTAGCCTAAGCAAAGTAGCAGAAATTATTGTCTCACAGAGGCAGCCTTTGAAATGTAGTGGTAGCAGCTTCAGGGTCAACAGAATTGTGAGATGTGAATAGCAAAAGTGCCCCATCTCCACTTCTCAGTTGTGGTATGGCCTTCTGCTTGACTGCTGGCTTCGGTCTCTTCAGCTTCTCCATACATTGTTGGAGAGTAGTGTGTATATATAGACATATGACCACCAACATCTCTGGGTTCACAGCCTTATGACTCATGATCCAAGGAGAAAGAGGAAGCTGCCCGTTCATCTCAATTCTCAGAGAAGGACTCTAGTTGATCTGCTTGGACCAATACGGGTCTGGAGTGATGTGTTACTATTTTTGCCCATGTTGCCTGCTGTGTTCATAAGGCGTAGAGTTGTGTGATTGGTAGAGTCACTGGAAGTAAAAGGGGTGAAAAGCCATGCTCTAGAGAAGATGGAGGTGAGAATGAGGCAACAAAGCTTGGGTGCAAATATACTAGGGAAACAAAATAAATGTGCACTCAACATATTTACTATACTGTATTACAATACACTATCCTGTGTAGTCAATGGATATGGTATGCAGAATAATGGCCCCCCAAATATGTTACTTTCTAATCCCCAGAATTTATGAATATGTTATGGTGCATGTTTAAATAACAGACAGAGGCTCTCTAAAAGAAAATATTTATTTGCGCATAGGGCATTGCAGCAGAAATACATATGCCATAGTAAACTATGTGCATATTCAAGGAGGTAAAGGAAGACAAAGGTTTTTAATGGAAAAATGAGGATGATTACATAATTGTTTTGTGATAATTTTCCTTGCCTACAAGTATTAATAACAAGGGTGATGCCAGTCATTAGCTGGACAGGCAGTTGCTGGGCAGATGACCTTGCAAAAGTATTTTTTGTGTAAGGGTGCAATGGCCTTTGTGCAAGGTTGTGGTATTGGCAGAGTCTTTTGTGATGGTTTTTGTTATCTGGCATTTATGCATGAAAGCTGTCTCATGGCCTTCCCCAGCTCTATTTGTCAAGGTTTCTTTTTCTTTCTTTCCTTTTTTTTTTTTTTTTGATACAGAGTTTCACTCTTGTTGCCCAGGCTGGAGTGCAATGGTGCGTTCTCAGCTTACTGCAACTTCTGCCTCCTGAGCTTAAGTGATTCTCCTGCCTTAGCCTCTCAAGTAGCTGGGATTACAGGCATGCGCCACCATGCCCAGCTAATTTTGTATTTTTAGTAGAGACAGGGTTTCACCATGTTGGTCAGTCTGGTCTCGAACTCCTGACCTCAGGTGATCCACCTACCTTAGCCTCCCAAAGTACTGGGATTACAGGCGTGAGTGACTGCACCCAGCCCTTTTTTTTCTTTTTAACACAAGTGACTCCATTATGATTCTTACAATTTTCACAATTACATAAAAAGGGGGAATTAAGGTTGCTAATTAGCTGACTTTAAAAGGAGGACAGTTTCTTGGATTCCTCAGATGAGTCCAGTGTATTCACAGGGTCCTTAAAGATGAAAGGTAGAGGCAGAGGAGTTAGAGTCAGAGACAGAGAGGGAGTGTTAGAGTGATAGATTCCATGTGAGAGACTCAGCCAGCCTTTGCTGATTTTGAAGACAGATGGAGGCCAAGAGCCAAAGAAGGAAGGCTGCTTCTAGAAGCTAGAATGGGCACATTAGCAAAGACATGGAATCAACCTAGATGCCCATCAGTGGTGTACCTGGATAAAGAAAATGTACATATACACCATGGTATACTACACAGCCATAAAAGAGAACAAAATCATGTCCTTTGCAGCAACATGGATGGGGCTGAAGGCCATTATCCTAAGCACATTAATGCAGAAACAGAAAAACAAATACATGTTCTCACTTATAAGTGGGAGCTAAACACTGAGTATACATGAACATAAAGAAAGGAACACACACTGGGGCCTACTTGAGGGTAGAGAGTGGGAGGAAGGCGAGGATTGAAAAATGACCTATCTGGTACTATGCTCATTACCTGGGTGTTGAAATAATCTGTATGCTGAGCCCCCCTGACACACAATTTACCCATGTAACAAACCTATACATGTATCCCCTTAACCTAATATAAGTTGGAAAGAAAAAAAACAGCTGGAATAGGAAAGAAAATGGACTCTCCCTTATATCTCCCAAATAGTTTCCAGAAGGAACACAGCCCTGTCAACATTGTGATTTTAGCCCAGTGAGCCCCATTTCAGACTTTTGAACTTCAGACCATAAGATACAAATTTGTGTTGTTTTAAGCCACTAAATGTATGGTAATTTGTTATAGCAGCAGTAGGAATTTGACAGAGTAGAGCATAACAATGAGTGCTGCGATCTTGACAGTCACCTAGGCCTGAATCTAAAGCCCTCTTCTACCACTCAGCTGTGTGATATCATTCAAGTTGGCTTTTCTGAGCATCAGCTTTCTTAGCTGTAAAAATAGAGCTATCAATATTTGTCCCACAAGGTTTTTATTAAGGGATAAATGAGATCTTGTATGTAAAGCATGTAACAAAGGTTCTGAACATAGTAAGTGCTGATAAATCCTAGATGCTATTGTCATCAGCACGATATTCAATACTCCAAAGAAGCCTATAGGTTATGTAGATCATACATTATCTCTATTTTAAAGGTGAGAAAACTGAAGTTCAGGAATGGTAAGCAACAGCACCTAGCTAATAAGTAAAACTTAAAGCAGTCTGGTATTAATTTACAATTTGCAATCTAATTTCAGAGAGCTCTGGAGAGATTCCTGACTCCCAGTGTATCTGCTGAAATGCTCCTCAGCTACTTTCTGCTAATTGACTGTTTTATTTGTACTCCAGGTTATTCAAGAAGATGAGTGATTCTGTGTGTGTTGTGGTGGTGGTGGGTGGGGGGGAGGTGGGGTAATCATCAAGCAGCATCAGTAAGATGCAGAACCGGGAATAAGCATGATCACTAATCCTATAATCATGGAAGTTTTAGAGTTTAAAGTGGGACTTAAAATTTTTAGCCTTTAGGCCAAATTTGGCCTACTCACATGATTGAAAAACAAAACAAAACAAAAAACAATCTATATCAGAAACTCCGAATGAGAATGCACTTAGAAAAGTTTTATGCCTTCCAGTTGTCACAGTCCTTACATCACTCTTTCATTTCTCCTGTCTACTTCACACATTTGAAAACTTCAAGACATAGTTTTCAACCTTCGGCTTAAAGGTTGAAGAGTCTAGTGTTAAAAAAAGTGAGACCAGCCAGGCATGGTGGCTCACATGGTGTAATCCCAGCACTTTGGGAGGCTGAGGTGGGTGCATCACTTGAGGTCAGGAGTTCGAGACCAACCTGGCCAACATGGTGAAACCCTGTCTTTACTAACAATACAAAAATTAGCCGGGTGTGGTGGCACACACCTGTGATCCCAGCTAATCTGGAGGCTGAGACAGGAGAATCACTTGAACTCAGGAGGCAGAGGTTGCAGTGAGCAGAGATCGCGCTACTGCACTCCTAGGCAACAGAATGAGACTTTGTCTCAGAAATAAAATAAAATAAAATAAAATAAAATACAAAAAATTTGGTGGTGCACGTCTGTTTGGGAGGCTGAGGCACTAGAATTGCTTGAACCTGGGAGGCGGAGGTTGCCATGAGCCAAGATCGCTCCATTGCACTCCAGCCTGGGCGACCAAGCAAGACTCTGTCTCCAAAAAAAAAAAAAAAACAAAAAACAAGACTTAAGTAGGTAAAGTGCCTGGTTTAGAGAAACACAGCTAGATAGTCATGATTTCTGATCAAGTGTGGAGAATGAGTTCATTCTGAGGACAAGGCCTAATTACGTAAGGCATTGGTATGTTTTCAAGCACTGCCAAAAGGCCACGTTTAGGAATGATAGTTTGGCAATACAACATACATTCAAGGCAGATGATGGGTACAAACCCATGCAGCAGGAAGGAAGCTGGACATACTGCTATTAAGATAAGTAATATAAGATGGTGAGTAGTCAAAGTGAAGTGCCATGAATGAGTTACAGGTATACAGAGAGACTGACCCCGCCCAACCCCACAGCCCTAGGGGCAGTTAGGTGGGGCCTGAACGTGAAAGATTCCCTGGGCTGGTTACAACTGTGATGACAAACTTAAGTCAGGTGTTGTACAAATAGCAAATTTCATCAATTCTTAGACATGTATTTTTTCACATTTACATCAGGAATTATAGTGACCATTACATCAGATGGTTTCTTTTTCTTTTTCTCTTTTTTTTTTTGAGATGGAGTCTTGCTCTGTCACCCAGGCTGGAGTGCCGTGGCGGTGGCGCTATCTCTGCTCACTGCGAGCTCCGCCTCCTCGGTTCACACCATTCTCCTGCCTCAGGCTCCCGAGTAATGGGACTACAGACGCCCGCCACCACGCCTGGTTAATTTTCTGTATTTTTAGTAGAGACCGGGTTTCACCATGTTAGCCAGGATGGTCTAGATCTCCTGACCTCATGATCTGCCCGCCTCGGCCTCCCTGAATGTTGGGATTACAGGTGTCAGCCACCGAGCCCAGCCTCAGATGGCTTCTTAAAGTGATAGTTAATCAGGGTAGTAGTCGTGACTCAGTTGTTTTTGCAGGTGCATGCATGAACTTCTTCATAGCTCTTCTACACTTCTATAGAGTTATGAATATTGTTTGCTCTATATTTACTATGGTTAATTGCCATTTATAGCACAATAGGGTGACTATAGTCAATAATAATTGTACATTTTAAAAATAACTTAAGGAGTATAATTGGAGTGTTTGTAACTCAAAGGATAAATGCTTGAGGGGATGGATACCCCATTCTCCATGATGTACTTATTTCACTCTGTATGCCTATACCAAAGCATTTCATGTACCCATTTCAATATATATACCTACCAAGTATCCCCAAAAATTGAAAAATAAAATTTTAAAACATTGACATTTAAAATGTCTTTTAAAAGGCTATGCTGTAATTTGGCAAAACAAAAAGTTACTGGGTATGGAAATAAGCATGAACAGAACAACAGGTTGCAAACTTGCACTGGTGAGGCAAATATGGACTATTGGAGGAATAGCCACAATTCCATGTATTCTTGCAAAGTAACCAAATAATTTACAATTCCTAAAAAAGGTGGATAGCTTTGAGTAGATAAGTTACTCAAGTTGCTTATTTCAGTTTAAGGTTGGAGAAATCACCAAATCCCTCAGAATATAAGAAAAAAATGTATTAGGATGAGAGAACAGTTTTTTGAGTCACAAGTACTCTTGTTAAGGCATCAAACATTAATTTGTCAAAAACTTCCTGCTTGTCTTTGAATAGAAGCTATTAAATTTCCAAAGATGTATGATTCAGCAGTTGCTGCAAAATGTAACTATATGCTTAGTCAAGTAGGAAATAGCGATAAACCTTTATATCCTTTGACAACCATCAAAATTATACTGTCAATGCTAAAGATACTAAAAGTGCATGGATTTATGTAAATAAGTGGCATGACACTATGACACTGTGCATAGGCATGCCACTATATTTAATTGAAAACTGTAAAATATTTAAGAAAATCTTCTCCTGTGATGATATTGTGCATACTCACAAGAAGGGGATGTACAATGTTTTAGTTGATGATCTATAAAGTTGCCGTGAACACTGAATTAGCAAATACTAAATCGTTGCTTCTAGGGGAAATACAGGTTAGGTTCCTGTGAGCCTGTGGTCACAATATTTTCATTAGCTAATCAATACATAACCTTGTTTTATGTGTATTTCTGTTTAAAAACACCTTATGTAATATATATTGTTGATTCATTAGCATTGAACTACAGCCAACAGCACTGTAAGTGAAAACCTGAACAAACCTTATCTAATATGTGTATTTTCTCTGTAAGGCACATGAAAGCCTCCTTGGGCTTGGGATTACTAAATAGCAGTTGAGCACGATGCTTGGGGGCCATTTTAAACATTGAATTCACTGACAAAAATCTCAAAAATGGGAAAATGAGCATTAAATAGACCATCAAGAGGACTCTCGTTTCCAGTATAAGAGCTGCAAGAAGAAGGCAGAGTATCACCTTGCTCAACCTTGGCTGGGAACTACAATTTTTTGTCATCCTGTGAATATTTGTGAGTGACCACGACAACTTTGTGAGTATAGATTTGGGAATTACCAATAAATTTTAGCAAGTAGGCAGGTTCAAAATGCAAAACCCATAAATAATGAGGATGGACAGAACTTTGTAAAACTTCAAAGTCATATGGCAAAGGATGTGGGTAAAGGGAAGATTAAAAAATTAGAACCAGTGATGCCCAATCTTGGGCTCTGTCTCAGACTTATTGAATCAAAATCTGCATTTCATATTCCCCAGGTGTTTTTATGCACCTCTGAGACATGCTGCCCTCAATACCATGATAGGTACATCCATACCAGACGGTGTAGGTTAAACTGTATAAACCATATAAACCAGACGGTGGAAGTTAAAATGTACAGTTTAACTCTACAAATTAGAGTCCTACATTTGTAAGGGTTTTATGGGTCTAAAGGTCTGGGGTGTGCTAGGACAACCTCTGTAAGGTGAAAGACAAGTTATTGCATCTTGCAATTCCTATTCACAGCAAAATGGCAGAGAACCTACTGGGCCTCTTTGGCTTTTGGAGATAGAATATACACTTGGGAATACAGCTTCAACACATTTATTGGGTGGTATGGAAAGCTACCAATTTGAGTGTATCCCTAGCAAGACAGTGCTCTGCAGCAAGTCCCTGCTGGGATGCAAACTGTCTTGCTGTCCGGCCTTGTGTCTCAGCAGATCCAATGCTGCTAGTGTCCCTGGAAGATAAAGATGCTGTGTGAAGTCTTAAGCAACCCTAACAGGTGAATCACAGTGCAGAACCTCAGGGATCTGGAACAAGGCAATTCCTTTGACAGTAAGTAATTTGAAAAGCAGCCCCTGGCATGCACTGAGTCCAGCAGAGACTAAGAGTCTGGCAATGTAACTCTAGTGATAATGCAACTAAGCCCATCACGAGCTGGACACTGCCAGTTTTACCAAGCCAAAGTGTTAGGTGAGTATAGCAGCAATCCATTAGATAACGATGAAGAGGAGTTAAGGTAATGAAATACCTCTGAAGTCAAAGAACAGTGGCCAGAAGAACGTGGGTGGGAGAGTTGGAAGTTTCCCAAGAAATATAAGCTCAGCATAATATTATCTTTTTCTGACTCCCTAACTGCTCTCTACCTGAATTTCCTCTATTAGGTGCAGAATAGTAATATGCACTCTTCCCCAGGTCAAATTTATGGAGTTATCATTGATAACTTCTGCTCATCAAAGGCATCATCCCTTAAAACAGAATCTCTTTAATCTGTGCCTTTCTCCGTGGCTACTGTTTTAATTTTTTCAGCATTTATTTCTCACACGTTTTTCACATTATTGACAAGTGATGTTTCTGCATATCTGATCATCCCATTTATTCTTCAGATGTTTACCGAGCATTTTCTATGTATCATGCACTGGGTTAGGCCCTGGATAAATAATGTGAAGAAGAAAAAAGAGACACTGCTACTGGGCTCCTGGAATTTGCAGTTTGGTGAAAAAGATACATGACAAATCCTGCTTAAGATCCTTCAGTGGTTCCTTGCTGTTTTCAGGAAGCCCAGATGTCTTGACCGGGTTGCCTCTGTTTACCTCTACAGCATCACCTCTAATCAGCACCCTTTACTCTGCAGCCACAGTGCGTTTTCCCTTCTTCACAGCACCTTCCTCTCTGCCTAGGTAAAGTCTACCATCTTTTAAGGGTTCAGTCCAGGAATCCACTTTTTCAGGAAGACTTCTGGACACTCTCTTCCCCCTTCCTCCGTAATTCCAGCACACTTCATGCCATCACTATCATATAGGTACCACGCTTTTTATCCTGATTCTCCGTTGTCTTGTCCACTGCCTCTACTCTACAGTGAACTCAACTTTGTGTCAATACTTAGTACAGTGATTTCTAGTACTCGACATTTTTTGTCAAATGGAATCGGATATATAGAAACACCCGCTGCCTCCCGCAAGAGCAGACAAGGCCAACCCATCACTCCTGCACCCCGACAAACGAACAACAGCACCGTGCTGCACGGCGTCCTCCGGCCTTGCTGCCTGGCAATGGGTAGCCACCTGGCGTCTGTCTCAGAATAGGACTCCGCGGCACGCCTCCTAGCGCAGTCGGTTGACACTGCAAGAATGGGAAGGTGCGGGTGACCACGCGGTCCCAGACCGGCGCAAGGCGCATGCGTAGAACGCGAGCGCTCGGCAAGGCTCGGCTCGGAAGAGTCCAAGCGTGAGGGGAGAGGGCTGTGGATTCAGATACTGTTTTTCTCCCGAAATAGGAAATTGGCTTATTTTTTTCTCCTCGGCAGCATCTTAATTTAAAATATGACACTTGACCTACGGCCCTGCACGGAGCGGTTAAGAGGGTGAGAGGCCCGTCAAACTCTTTTTGGTGTTTAGGCGCTCCTCCTCCGGGCGGTGTGTTGGGAGGGCCCAGGTCAAGGCGCGCGTGGGCGGAAGCGGCGGCGGCGGCGAAGGCGGCGGCTGTCAGAGCTGGAGGGCCGGGCACCGCGGCCATGGAGGGTCAACGCTGGCTGCCGCTGGAGGCCAATCCCGAGGTGGGCGCGCTTCGGGGCAGCCCTGGGCCGTGGGCAGGTGCAGAGGGAGCCGGCTTGCTGCCGCGAGTCCACGGTGGTTTGTCTCTAAAGCGTGTTCTCTGTTTCGTTTTCAGGTCACCAACCAGGTGAGTGAGGTGTCTGTCGCTCGGGACCTCGGAGTCTTTTCTGTCTGCTCGGTCCGCTTCCCTGCTGGACTCCACCTCCACGCTTCCAGGGATTCTGGGATTTAATTTCTTGAGGGCCCCTCTTGTTCGGCTTTACGCGGGTCCGCCCCTTTCAGAAAGGGCCATCTCGCTGCCACCTGGCTCCTGAAGATTCTCCCACCACTCCTCTGGTCCCATTCTGCAGTCACCACGTATCTTGGGGACTCCGGGTCTGAGGTTTGGAGGGACTTTTACCCTGTATTCCTATTCCCCTTCCTTCTTCGTTTTGCCTCCTGTTAGTGCCGATTCCATAATTTTCCTACCGGTGTACCTTTTGGATGACTAATTTGCCCACACTTCCTGACTCCAAGCTTTGTAAACTCGCCCACCCAGTCCTTGTAATTTCATCCACCGCCTGCACTATGAAATCATCTTCCAATCATCTCTTGCCCCATGAAGTCACTTTTCTTCCCCGCCACGCCCCCTTTATCTTCCAGTCTTTTAAAGCTGGACATTTAGTTGCTGTTGTATCAAAGAAAGCTCAGTTTAATAGTTCCCACGCCATTCTTTGCAATCTATAGCAATTTAAGTTCCTTCTGGGTGTTGGAGGTTGGGGGTTGGGGAGGGAGGAGGGAACATCTCCCAGCCACTCAGAAGAGTAAGTGCTACCAGGTATAAACTTTTGATCTGCTCAGGTGTGCCTTATTTTACCCTGTTTTTTTTTTTTTTTTCATTCTCAACAGCTCATTTCTTTTTTACTGCTCTCCTAGTTTATCATACTCCCTTTACCTCCACTATCTTCCTTCTCATCACCAAGGAACAATTCACCGTGTTCTTAAAAATATTGGTTTTTGGTTTTCAAAGCTTGTAGCAAATTCCCTGGACAAAGAGACATCCTCTGTCTTGCTCTCTATCTTAGGGAGGAAACATTTGATCTTTCACCATTAAATATGTTAGCTTTAGGTTTTTGGTAAATGTTTTTTAAATCAGGCTAAGGAAGTTCCTCTTTTCCCCCTAGTTTGCTGAGAGTTTTTCTTATGAATCTATGTTGACTTTTCGCAAATGATTTTTCTGCATCTCTTGAGATGATCATTTAAGGAAGAAATAATACCAATTCTACATAAACATAAAAGAGGGGAGACGGCCAGGCGCGGTGGCTCACGCCTGTAATCCTAGCACTGGCGCTCTGGGAGGCTGAGGTGGGCGGATCACCTGAGGTCAGGAGTTCGAGACCAGTCTGGCTGGTGAAACCCCGTCTCTGCTAAAAATACAAAAATTAGACGGGCGTGGTGATACACTCCTGTAATCCCGGGTACTTGGGAGGCTGAGGCAGGAGAATCGCTTGAACCCGGGAGGCGGAGGTTGCATTGAGCCGAGATTGTGCCACTGCACTCCAGCCTGGATGACAGAGCAAGACTCTGTCTCAAAAAAAAAAAAAAAAGACACTTCCTAACTCATTTTATGCTAGCATTATCCTGACGCCAAACTAGACAATTCATATTAAGAAAACTGCAAATCAGTATCCCTTATGAACATGGATGTAAGAAATCCTCTACAAAATATTAGCAAATAGAATGCAGCAATAAATATATAAAAAGTAACATATGACCAAGAGCAGTTTATCCTGGTGTTGCAAAGCTGGTTCACCATTCAAAAATCAATGTAATTAACCATATCAATAGACTAAAAAACAAAACTTTTTAGATGATGTTGATTGTTTTAACAAACTAAGTTTGTGTAAGTAGGAACTTACGTCCTGTGATTCAGCTGCTAGTGGACCTTGTTTCTAGGGTGTCTTGAAAAACTATCAAACACATTAATATTTTAGGGGCACCTTTTTTAATACCAGTAATCTGAACAGGAGCTGGTGATTCTTTGGTGATTAAAATATTCATGGTTTTCTGCTTTTCAATCCAGTTGAAAGACAGTAAACAAGCAAACAAGTCATTAGCATTTATTATAAGTACAATAAGAAAAAGAACATAGTGCTTTGATAGAGACCATCAGGGAAAATGTAATACATGGAATAGTGACAGGAGACCTTTCTGAGATGATATAAACAGACAAACAATGTTATTTAGTATATGATTGTACATTATATCTGGCATGCTTTGGCATGATTTAGTTTGTTTTAAATTGATTTTTTAAAGAAATAATGTGCTTTTAGTGGGAGAATGGGCAAGTATGTAAGAAACGGTTATAACTAAAAATTTTGTGGTTGTTTCTTTATTCTCTATGTTTTAGTGGCAGAACCAAGAATAGAAGATGGATAGAAATTTAGTTAACTGACTTAGAATTTGGAGAATGAATAAACCCTAACAGCAATATCCATCCCACTCTCTTTTATTTCCTCAACCTAATGGAATGGTAGGATCTTGAACTCACTCTGTTACCATCTGGTAATTGCATGTGTTGTTATTATAATCAATGTGAGCAAATACTGCTTTAGGCTCTGATGATGCCTAGTGTTGTATAAGAATGGCCATCACATGTCTACTATATGCAGATGAGTATTAATTGTTAGACATTAGCTAGTAACCATGTGTCTCAGCAGATGTGGTAGACAGTGATTTCTCTTGTTGGTTAGTATGCTGTCAGCCCTTTTAAGGATACTGTGTTATGCTACAGGTAGGACTTAATCAGAATAAAATGAGTTAAGTGATCAAAAAAATTATTTAAACATTTTAAACTCTACTTTATTTACCTATGCATTTAAAGGGGTAAATGCAGCTTGCAGCTGAAAGTTACAGATAATTAAACATCAAGAATTACAACATTTATAGAGTGTGATATAGGCAATTATTATTATTTATGACCGTACTAAATCTTCATTGTGATTATTTTTTGTGATTTGAGTACAGTACAACCACATTATGTATATTTTACATATTGTTGTGCTTCAGAACTAATGATTTTTGTTTATATGGACCCCTCTCCACCCCAAGGATTATTATTCCTACTCGTGATTTTATTGAGGAGGCAAAATATTTTCTAGCGTAATACCGAAAGGGAAATAAATTTACTTTAGCATAACTATTCTATTTAGCCTGTATGCTTAGAGTTAGAAAAAGAATTAGAGGTCATCTGCTGGCTTATTGCCTTAAATAATCACAATAAATAAATCATATAAATTCTCATAAGAATTCTCTAATTAGTAGATACCATTTTAGGAAAAAAATCTTTGTTATCCTGTCCTCCTTGAGCTGCTGCCTTACCTGTTTTCCTTCTTTGTAAACTTTCCACAAAGAATTGTTCATAGCTGCTGCAACTGCTACCTCATCTCACATTCTTTTCCTTATTCATTCCTGTGTAGCTTGCTTCTGTGTGTACCATTTCGTAGTAACTTTTTTTGTCAAGTTCACTAATGATTGCCACTTTGCCAGATCCAGTGATCACTTTTCTGTCACCATATTTCTTGACCTTTCAGCAGCATTTGGTAGAATAGCTCACTCCATCTTTATTGAAACATTATCTTTTCTTGGCTTCTGTGAGAATTCTGATGGTCCTCTATTTTCCTAATTGCTTCGAAGAGTCTCTGTTGCTAGATCATCTCCCTTCCAACTTCTAAGGAGCGCCTCAGCCACTTCATCCTAGACTGCTCATCTTTTTTATGTGTTTTCTTGCCCTAGTAATGTTTTCTGTTGTATAGTTCTAATACCATCAATTGTCACATAGATGACCCCATGTTCCTTGAAACCCTAACATTGCCACCAAATTGGAAACCTGTATATTCAGCTAACTCTTTGGTATCTCCATCTGGATGTCTTATAGATACCTTAAAGTTAATATGGCCAAAAAAGAAATATGGGTTTTCATCTTCCCATCTCTGCTCTAAACCCTTTTCTTCCCCATCTTCCAAGGGCATAGCCATCCATGCAGTGTTTGAGGTGATGAGTTGATGCCGTTGATTCTTCTTTCAGATTGCCATTCCAGAGAGGCCGTAGTATCTTGATTTGATTCTTGGATTGTAATCTCTGCTTTGCTATCTACCAGCTCTGAGACCATGGACAGTTATCTAACCTCTTTGTGTCTTAGTTCCTTAATTTCTTTCTTTCTTTTTTCCTTTTTTAAAGACAGGGTCTTGTTCTATCTCCCAGGCAGGCTGGATTACAGTGGCACAATCATAGCTCACTGTAACCTTGGAATTCCTGGGCTCAAGCACTCCTCACACCTCAGCCTTCCAAGTAGGTAGGATACAAGCTTGCACCATCACACCCGGCTAATTTTTGTATTTTTTGTAGAGACAAGATGGTTTTACTCTGTTTCCCAGGCTGGTCTCAAATGCCTGGCCTCAAACAACTAGTTCCTTCATTTCTTATAATCTCTTCTAATCTTGTAAGATCACTATAAGGATCAAATTACTACATATAAAATATGTAGAACAATGTCTTGAACAAAGCATGCTCTCCATGAATGTCGGCTATTTTTAATATTCTATTTCTCATTCCTCAGATCTAATTGATCTGCAACTCTTATGGACTCTTCTTGCAAAGGCTATTCCAAATACGGCTATTCCAAATATGGCTATTCCATTTCAGCTGCCACAGTGCAAGCCACCATCCTTAGCTTGGACAACTATAGTAGGCTCCTAACTAGTTCTTCTGCTTCTCCTTTTGCTTCCCTAAAATCTAATTTCCATATGCACCCAAAGTGGCCTTAAATAAATGAGAATCACATCTTATGACTTCCTGCTTATCATACTCTACTGGTCTTCCAATGCTTGTCCTTAGAAGATACTTGAAACTTTTTTGTTTTTTTAAACTTTTAGCTTCAGGGGTACATGTGTAGATTTGTTATATAGGTAAACTCATGTCACAGGGATTTGTTGTACAGATTATTTCATCACCCAGGTACTAAACCTAGTACCTAATAGTTATTGTTTCTGATCCTCTCCTCAGCCTTCACCTTCAGGTAGGCTCCAATGTCTGTTCCTGTCTTTGTATCCATGTGTTCTCATCATTTAGCTCTCACAAGTGAGAACATGCGGTATTTGGTTTTCTGTTCTTGCATTAGTTTGCTAAGGATAATGGCATCCAGCTCCATTTCAAGCTTTTATCATGGCTGAATGAGGAGGTACTGCCCATCTCTGACCCGCTCATGCTGTGCTGCAGTCTTCGAATGTGGAGTCTGTTCCTGCTTCAGAGTCTTTGCACTTGCTCATCCTTTGCTTGAGTCATCCACTCCTGTTTGTTTCATGGTAGGTTCTTGTCATCTGTGGCTCAAGTTCAAGTCATCTCATCAGTGAGTCTTTGAGTACACAGCTAAATTAGCCCCCCAAATCTGTACTGTCATCCTCACTTGTTTTATTTTCTTCACAGTACTTCCCACTTTGTGAAATTATCTTGTTTATGTGTATACTTGTTTATCATGTGTATCTTACCACTAGAATATAAGTTCTGTGAGAGCAGGGATGCGTCTGAAGTATGAGAACGGTGCCAGGCTCACGGGGCCATCAACAAATATGTAGTTGTCAGATGGAAGAATGAATAGATCTTATAAAGCTGCTTTCCTGCTCCAGAAGATCTCCCAACATTATCTTTAATGCGGTCATGAATCCTTTGCCTAGTTCAATGAGCAGCATTCTATCTCTTAAAGTGGTTTAATTTTTTATTATAATAATATATAAGTAGAAGAATTATATTTCTTTTATTGAAACAAAATCTGCTTTCCCGTAACTTTCTCCAGTTGTCTATCATTCTCATTGAAACCATAGAGTAAATCTAATTGCTCTTTAAAAAACTCTTTAAATTAAAAAAATTTATTTCTTTTTGAGATGGAGGTCACACTATGTTGCCCAGGCTGGCCTCCAGCTCCTGGGGTCAAACAATTCTGCCACCTCAGCCTCCTGAGTAGCTGGGACTACAGGCATGTGCCACTGTACCTGGCTCCCAATTGCTATTTTATGATATTACTAAAAATATCCAGGGACAGGGATCATAGTAATTTAAGTCCTCTCTGAACATGCTTAGAAACTTTAGCTGTGATGTCTTCCAGAACCTTATCATACTGGTCACCTGCCTTTGGGCTTTCTTTTCTTGGTCATTGACTTTCATAAAATATGCCTCCTATAGGCATATTTTCTGCTGAGTAATCTATGTCGAGTACAGTGGGCTATTACATTATCTTAAATGATCCTTCTTTTAAAGCAAACTAACATTGTATCACCTTTGTTGGCAATTTTGTAGTTAGTCCATATTGAGCCTGCAGTGAAGTAAACTTCATTTTTTCTTAATCCACACATAAAGTGTTTTCAGTGTTTCCTCATTATGTACTTTAATAATTATTCTGTCTCATTAAAATTTATTTTTGCTAGTTTCTACACTGCCATTTTCTCATTTAACTAATAGTTATTCTACTTCTACATTTAGCAGTTAATACTAGTTTACTGGCAGTAATATCAAGTAATTGCTAGGTAAGTATAATTTTACATCATAATTCAAATCATTAATAAATTAGTAACAGGGCAGAATCTCTGGCTGCCCTGAACAGACCATTAAAGACCAGAGGAAGTGGCTTTAAGAACAAATTTGAAAGGAAAGTGAATTTTATCTATTTTTTTAATTTATAAAATCAGAGTTTTTGTTATTTGACTGTCACCTAAAGAATGAGGAAGAATTTGTTATAATTTAGGGACAGGAACGAACAGGTTTTTAAGACTCGTTTGTGTGTCTAGGTTTTTAAGTCTAGTTTGTATGCAAAAACCTGGAGGGAAGAGATGGTTATAGACAGTTTGAAAACTCTCAGGAGTTCATTGTGGCCAAGTTAGAGAATAAAGTACCAAAAAGATACTCTGGGCAGAGAGAAATGAAGCTGGAAAAGTAAATAGGTGCCATAGTGTTCAGATCCTTGCATGTGAGTTCTGGCAGGTGGCCTCGAAAAAGCACTTAACCTCCCAGACGTAGTTTTCTTATTGGCTGGTAAAAGGATACACTGGGTTGAGTGCAGTGGTTCACAGCTAGTGAGCACTTTGGGAGGCCGGGGCCAGAGGATTGCTTGAGTGTAGGATTTCAGACCAGCTTGGGCAACATAGTGAGACGTCTCTACTAAAAAATAAAAAAATTTAGCTGGCTGTGATGATGTATGCCTGTAGTCTCAGCTATCTGGGAGGCTGAGGCAGGAGGATTCCTTCAGCTCAGGAATTAGAGGTTGCAGTGAGCTGTGATTGTTGTCACTGCACTCCAGCCTGGGCAATGGAGCAAGACCCTGTCTGAAAAAAAAAAAGGAAGATAAAATGAAACCTGCCTTGCCATGGCAGTAGAGGTGAAGTGGGTACTGCTCCTAGCTCCTCACATACAAGGGTCTCAAAACATATTTACAAATAATTTTAAATATTCTTTATCTAGTGAAAAATTTGTCATTGGACCATAGAATAAAAAGAATAAGTTGACTGAAGATTTTTTAACAGCCAAATACTATAATTTATTAATTATTTTTCTCAATTGGCCAAAATTTTAGAGGCATTGTGAAAATTTGTTGAGTTAGTCAGAGGTTTTTTTGGTTATTTTATTACTCAATATTTAAGTTTGAAAAGCCAGAAGACTGGTGATAGAGGTTATGAAACCTTTTATCCTGCTTGATGTAAATGGGATGCTTCTAATTAACTGTGTAGAGATGGCTTTGCAAATGCATGTATAGATAATTATCTTTGTGAGCAGTCTGGAAAAATATTTTTGGTATAGTTTTAAGACCATCATTTTGTGTTTTCTCCCAGTTTTGTAAATTTAAATAGAATACATATGTGTATCAGTTCTATAGATTTGTAACTTACAGCTACATATAATTATTGTAAAACTAATGCTTTTATAAAATACTAGAAAATAGAAAGGTGGATTCACACCACCCAAGCTAACTGCTAACATTTTAGAAAATTTCCTTCCTATCTTTCTGTATTTGCATATGATCATTTCAAACACAGGGTTTTTTTTTTTTAATTGTAAAAGTAGGACATTTTAATGATTTTTTTTTTTTTTGAAGACGTGAGTGGTAAAAGTTGACCCTCTTCTCTACCCTTTCTCCATTTCCCAGAGGTAGTCTTTATAGCTGCTTTTATTCTTTGTATTCAGATAGCTTCTGGTGAGCCTGACTCATGGCAATCTGGAGTCAGGATCTAACAATATATTCAGTAGATATTAGTTGCATTGAATTTCTTTATATCTATCTCATTTAATTGTTGATATGAGTAAGAAGTTAAAAAGCATGATTCTGGTTAAAATTTAATCAAGTTATGATTTTATCTACTATTGGATCATTCATTATGTCCTCAGTTTGATACTAATTGGTATCACTACAGTGGCTGCGTTTGGTTCCTAGTACTTTTTGTACTTGTTAGCTTTGGCTGACATAGAGTAGATTTGCAGTGAACTGATTTACAGTACTTGCTGATTTTGTCCAGACCTTTCACTAAAATATTCTAACTGTGACTTTTAGTTTGCAGCACAGATGTAAAATTGCTCTGTTGTATGTACCATCGTGTTTTATAACTTTATAACAGGATGACTTTGTGGGTACATAAAATTAACAAATAAATTTAAATTCTCTTATCAGGGTTCATGATACTTTTCCTTAAAAGGCAATTTAGGTAGTCTTCTGATTTGATTAATGAATGCTAGGGTTTTAGATTAGGAGCCAAAGGTATCTTTTCTACTTCTTTTCCTCATTATACAGAGGCTTCACTGATGTATATAGACATACAGATGGCTAGGTTATCTACTAAAGTAGAGATGTAATCTTTAGTCAGTTCTAGAAATATACCTTGGGTGTCTGTGATTCAGCCATGTACAGTGCTAGGCAATGAGATTAAAAACATTGAATAAGACACAGTTTTTTCCCTTGACTTGGCAGTTAATTTTTATCCTTTTTGGTTTTTAGATAGAATTGAATACTGAAAAAGCATAGACTAGGAAGCTTGCAGGAAGTGGAGAAAGGAGCAGGAAGTAGTTCGAAGTGCTTTAGTGAACTATAAATAGAACCAAGTAAGAATGGATATAATGTAGAGGAGCCCATTGATCTCCTCAGCCCCGGACTCTTTTTTTTTTTTTTTTTTTTTTTTTTTGAGACGGAGTCTGGCTCTGTAGCCCAGGCTGGAGTGCAGTGGCGCAATCTCTGCTCACTGCAAGCTCCGCCTCCCGGGTTCATGCCATTCTCCTGCCTTAGCCTCCCGAGTAGCTGGGAATACAGGCGCCAGCCACCACGCCCAGCTAATTTTTTTGTATTTTTAGTAGAGACGGGGTTTCACCGTATTAGCCAGGATGGTCTCGATCTCCTGACCTCGTGATCCACCCGCCTCGGCCTCCCAGAGTGCTGGGATTACAGGCGTGAGCCACCGCGCCCGGCCCTCAGCCCCGGACTCTTATAGGGCATGTGACTTGTTCCAAGAATGAACCTAATCTTTGCTGAACACATTCTTCTAAGAAAGTTTTTATAAATCACTACGTTTCTTATTAAACATACCTAGAACCTTATTTTTGACCAATGATATCATTAGCAAGTAGATTATCTTCTACAAGCAGAGAAATGAAGGGATAAGGATAGTTGCCCTTTAAACAGGAAGGTCTTGTCTTACAAAACTCAAATGCATGTGAGATGAATAGCACTGTTTATATACGTGTCATGGCTTCCACTGGTTTTGCAAGACCTCATTTGATGATCTAAGTACATGTGATCATTCTTCAGGGAGAAATGCCTATGGCACCTTTTTTGTTTGTTTTTAATTTCAAAATTTCAGATGTTAGACCAGCAAATACTATAATGTGTTCTTGAGGTAAGATATAGTGATGCATTTTTAATATGATTTTTGTTTCCTCTATTCCTTTTTTCTATCATCTAAAACTTATTTTGTAATGATGTACTTAAAAAGTTATCAGCTTCTTTCGATATAAAGTTATTAATTGTGAAAATGACATTCTCATTTTTTCTCTATGTGATAGATTAAGGTCTGACATTTTATTTTCCTGTGACATCTTAAGAATTGTAAAAAAAACACTAATTTTTTGTTACAGTTATTTTGCCAGATATAAGAGAGGCAATGAAGTTAAGTAGGTTTCATTGTGTAGTAGAGGCCAGGAAGCCAGTAGTTTACTTCCTATATCCAGCATTTTCTGTTGTTCATACAATGCATTAGATACATTTTTGGCTTATATTACTCTTTGCTCATTGATACAATTCATGGCTATCAATCTATCTTTAAACCTCAGACATCATTTTTGGTAAATAGGATAAACTATGTTGATTTTCTGATAAAATATTTATTTACTATAACTTAAATGCCTCTCCTTAAAAACCAAGTGCTGGAAATGAGTTTAACATATCAACCAAGCCAACTTATATGTATTTGATGAAGTCCAGGCTTATTAAATTCAATTCCAAAGAAATGGAGTTTGAAAAAAGAGGTTTTATTTCACATGTTATGAATGTTAAATGTTTGTTATGTGCTATAAATAAATTGCTATCTCTTCTCACCCTATTCATAGAAAATCTGCTTTACTACCATTCTGCCCCCCTAGTTTTACTGAAGTATAATTGACAAAAATTGAACATATTTAGAGTGTGCATTGTGATGTTTTGATATGTGCTGCTTTACTGCATTCCTACTGAATGTCAGTTACATTTGTATTTTATCCCTTTATAGGTATTAGATACAGAGTACATATTTGTTGATCATTTCCCTTTTAACACTATGTATAGTATACTAGTTTTCTTTTACCAACTAATGTTCCATTGTTTTTTTTTTCTTTCTTTCTTTTACCAGTTTCTTAAACAATTAGGTCTACATCCTAACTGGCAATTCGTTGATGTATATGGAATGGATCCTGAACTCCTTAGCATGGTACCAAGACCAGTCTGTGCAGTCTTACTTCTCTTTCCTATTACAGAAAAGGTAATTGTTATGTAAAATAGAAAGTTTCTGGTAAATACAATTTTTGTTTTATTCTGTCTTATTTTTTGAGGCAGTATCTCGCTCTGTTGCCTAGGCTGGAGTGCAGAGGTGTAATCATGGCTTACTGCAGTCTCAACCTCCCAGGCTCAAGCGATCCTCCCACCTTAGCCTTTCGAGTAGCTGGGACCACAGGCATGTTCCACCACACCTAGCTGATGCTTGTGTTTTATTTTTGTAGAGACAGGGCCTCACCGTGTTGCCTGGTCTGGTCTCCAACTCGGGCTCAAGTGATCCTCCCGCATCGGTCTCCCAAAGTGCTGGGCTTATAGGCATGAGCCACTGTTCCCAGCCCAATTTCTTTTTCTTCTTTTTTTAATTTACAAAGTTTTTGATAAATACAATCTTTAAGAACAAATGATCCCCTTCTTGCATAAAATTAGGCAATCTAGTCAGTAAAGAAATCTTAAAACTTTTTATTAAAGAGATGATATTTCTATTTTGATGACAGTAAAGTCCTAGGTTAGTGCTTTAAGCTTTGGTAAATTTTCTTCTTTAATAAAAATTTGGTTAGTTTGCCTCAGCTGTGTTTTGATGTCACATTTTGATTTATCTGTTTTAGAAATTTTAAGTACTAGAATAAACTTAAATACAGTTTTTTCAATATATATATATATAAGGAATCTTCTTTGCTTATTTTAAGTTGGTAGGGGAAACTGATAATGTAGGTTACATTATTTTCAAAATAAACTTGAATGGGAATCACTAAGCTTAAATATATTTTAATTGGCAGCTTTAGGGTGTGTTGGGGATTATAAATAGCTGTTCTTTGAGCTCTGTATTTAAATTCAAGTCTACATATTTTAGTCTTTTTTTCTAGAATGATATATGTGTATGTTTCTGTGTGTGTGTATATATGTATACGTATACATACGTATACGTATATACGTACGTATATACGTATACGTATACATACGTATACATATATACATACGTATATACGTATACATATATACACACACATGCACATATATATGTATAGTGGAGCCAGAACTTTTAAGTGCATTTTATAATAGATTTTGAGGCTATATCCTTCTGATTTTTATTTTTAAAATTAGAAACAGTAGGATGATTGCAGTAGTTATGAAAAATGAAGAAGTAAATGGGAAGATGTGAGAGAAATATGTTGATGATTTGTCATATTTGTGCTCAGGTCATCCTATTCTTCAGGACTAAATGGAGCCAAATCCCACAGGATTTAAGACTTTGCTTAGTCCTGGAAATTCCTGGATCATTTTCTTTATGCTATAACAAATTAGCCTCAATTCAAGATAAATTAAATAACATTGAAAATTTTTTCTCTTCTACTTAAGGGTTCTACAAAACAAATTATTCAATAAAAGAAATGATATTTCTTTGCATTTACTATTCATAATAGAGAAATTTGGAGTTAGGAATTTCTTACTGATTGTCTAGTATTAGACCAAACCCCTACACAATGGTAAGGTTATGATTACTGACATTTGTAGAAGAGTTGAGACAAAAACTTAAGTTTACTCTCTTTTAATACAATGTTACTTTTACCTTTTTTGATTACAAAAATAAGCCAACAGATAACTATTCCAGGACCCCAGTTGTAATGAACAGTAAATAATTGAAAAAAAAATCAGTTGCCTAAAGCTTAGGGTTTCTTAGCTGAGGTGATACAAATAGGAGTTTTTTTGTCTGAATTGGAAATTTCCAAACCATTGATTTTTTATGACTTTTTTTGTAAAAAATAAATTAGATTTGATCTCTTTCATTTAGTGAGTCATCAGCATTAAAAAGGCATATTATCCTTATCAATAGGATTTAATTTAGTAGATTATCAGAGCTAAAAACTTGTCCCTGTTGAAAGGAAGAACACAGTTCTAAAGTATTTGCGTAAGTAAATTTGTACTTACATAAGTAGAAAATGATGTAAGTAAATATATAAGTAAGCATAAATACTTTACTTATATAACTATAATAACATGTAAGTAGAGAATATAAATAGCATGTACTACTTTTAGATGTCTTACAGTTTTGTAGATCCCTATTTCAGCTTATAGGTGATATATTGCAAAGTTATTAAGAGGATATCTAGTGCATTCTTTAGGAGCTGCAAAGTGTTTGTCTTTGAAGTTCCAATTTAGAAATTGAATATGTAGTTGTGAATGACTTAAGCATACTAATAGCAAAGGAACTGTCATGGGTACCTCATTATCCTTTATGTATGTATGTATGTATGTATGTATGTATGTATGTATATATATGTTTATGTTTACTTATTTTTTGAGACAGCATCTCACTCTGTCGCCCAATCTGGAGTGCAGTGGTGCGATCTCAGTTCATTGCAACCCATGCCTCCCAGGTACAAGTGATTCTTCTGCCTCAGTCTCTGGAGTAGCTGGGATTTCAGGCGTGTGCCACTATACCTGGCTAATTTTTTGTATTTTTAGTAGAGACAGGGTTTCACCATGTTGGTCAGGCTGGTCTTGAACTCCTGATTTTGAATGATCTGCCCACTTTGGTCTCCCAGAGTGCTGGGATTATAGGTGTGACTCATTACCCTTTAAAGTCAATCATGGTGGGTTTTTAAAAATAAATTTTATTGTGTATATTTGAAGTTTACAACATGATATTGGGTTCATATACATAGTAAAATAGTTACAATAGTGAAGCAGATTAATATATCTATCATCACATAGTTACTTTTTTTGTTACAAGAGCAGCTAAAATCTTATTTAACAAAAATTTCTAATGCAATATGATTTTATTAACTTTAGTCTTCTACTTGTTTTTCCTATACATCTGCTATTTTGTGTCCTTTGACCTACATCACATCACATCCCTGCTAACCTCTGTTTCGTTCTCTGTGTATTTGAGCTTTTCCATGTATCAGTGATATTATACAATATTTTTCTTTCTGTGTCTGGCTTATTTCACTTAGTATAATGTCCTTCAGGTTCATCCATGTAGCAAATGTTAGGATCTCCCTTTTTTAAAGCCGAATAATATTTCTGTGTGTGTGTGTGTGTGTGTGTCTATATCTATGCCACCTTTTCTCCCAACCAAGTACTAACAAGGTCCAACCCTGCTTAACTTCTGAGATCAGATAGGATTGGGTACATTCAGGGTACTATGGTCATAGACTATACCATGTTTTTATCCATTTAGCCATCTATGGACATTTGGTTTGTTTCCATATCTTGGCTATCCTGAGTAATGCTGCAGTGAACATGGAAGTGCAGATATCTTTTTTTTTTTTTGAGATGGAGTCTCGCTCTGTTGCCCAGGCTGGAGTGCAGTGGTGCGATCTCGGCTCACTGCAAGCTCCGCCTCCTGGGTTCGCGCCATTCTCCCACCTCAGCCTCCCGAGTAGCTGGGACTACAGGTGCCTGCCACCACGCCCGGCTTATTTTTTGTATTTTTAGTAGAGACGGGGTTTCACCATGTTAGCTGGGATGGTCTCGATCTCCTGACCTCGTGATCCACCCGCCTTGGCCTCCCAAAGTGCTGGGATTACAGGTGTGAGCCACTACGCCTGGCCTAAAGTGCAGATATCTTTACAAGGTAGAGATTCATCTCCTTTACAAGGTGATTGTCTCCTTTGGATATGAATTGCTGGGTCATATGGTAGTCTATTGTTAATTTCTTTAGAAATCTCCATACTGTTTTTCATAATGGCTGTACCAATCTGCATTCCCACCAACAGTGCACTTGGGTTCCCTTTTCTCCACACCCTCACCATTATTTATTATCTCTTTTTGATAATTACCATCAATGATAGTGTTGTGTTGTTATCATTTGTTTTGAGACAGAGTCTTGCTCTGTTGCCCAGGCTGTAGTGCAGTGGTGCCATCTCAGCTCACTGCAACCTTTGCCTCCTGGGTTCAAGCGATTCTCATGGCTCAGTCTCTGGAGTAGCTGGGATTACAGGCATGTGCCACCACACCTGGCTAATTTTTGTATCTTCAGTAGAGACGGGGTTTCACCATGTTAGCCTGGCTGGTCTTGAACTCCTGACCTCAGATGATCCACCCCCTTCAGCCTCCCAAAGTGCTGGGATTACAGGTGTGAGCTACTGCGCCCGGCCAGTGATAGTGTTTTGAATGTGTTCTTTGTGATAGTGCGGTCCAGCCAGTAAATCATAGGCAAAGAGGCTATAAATTTTATTTCTCTCTGATATTTATGTCTCTTGGCCTTATTTTTTTTAATTTTTTGATCTACCATAATTTCTTTTTTTCCTTTAGTTGCTTTGTATCATTTTAGGAATTTTTCCTACACATTACATCTTGAAATTATCAAATCTTATTTTGCTTTGTCATCAGGAACATTAACAACAGACTAAGCTGTAGAACTGTAAACTTTTCAGCATAAGACCTTAACATACTGAACCTTTCCAGTTTTTTATCAATCGAACTTACATGAATAATGTCCATTTATTCTGATAGTGTTACTTAAAATGTAATTTAGAAGCACAATAATAAAATTCATATTTTGAGCACAGATACATTTGTTGTTAGAAGCAGTCTATTATTTTTTTCTTCCATAGGCAAGAGATAAAAGAAGCAGTTTCTTAACTACTTGTAGGTTTTCTATAGACATCGTTTGTTTCTTTTATTGCAGGGGATCAGGAAAATGTTTCTGTAAAGGACTAGATAGTAAATATTTTCAGCTTTGCAGGCCTTTAAGTGTCTGTTGCAACTATTTGACTTTGCCTTGTAAACAGCCATAGACAATACATAATGAAATTTTACTTATGAAAAGAGGCAGTGGGCCAGATTTGGCCTGTAGGCTGTCATTTGCTGACCCCGCTCTATTGGAAGCAGAAAGTTATGGAAAAACTATAAACAAAACAATAAAATCATCTTTCTCCTCCCCACCTCACCGATTTTTTAACCTTTTTGCTATTTTTTACTCTTTCTTACTATTAGGAAACTGAGATACAGAGACATTAAATAATTTGCTAAAGTCACACAGCTAATAACAGCTGAGCCAGGACGTGGGCCCAGGCAGTCAGCTATAGAGCCCACATTTTTGATGCTTATTATTATACCCTATTGCTTTTACAACCAGTTATTATAGATAATGGTTAGTGTCAGTTACAGATTATATAATGTGAATTTTATAAATATGCTATGATTTTCCAAAAGGAAAAATATTTTTGCCAATGATAAACAATATAGAAACGTAACAATTAGCAAGTAAAAGTTCTCCAGTAATCTCTTGGCCCAAAGATAACCTCTATTAAGTTTTTGCACACCCTTTCAGACTTTCCAATGTGTATATACATATTTTAAAAACATAAATGGGAATTGTTATTAATATAAACTGACCTATAACCACACTTAGTTGTGGACAAAGTTCTAAATCAGAATATGTAAATCTATTATGCTTTATAGTATTCTATTACGATATGCCATAATATATTTTAACCAAATCTCCATTGATGTCTTAGACCAATCTCCTACAAAGGAAATTGCTTATTGGAGTGTATGAGAATTTAAAATGTTAATACATATTGCCATATGCCCTGTAACGTGATCGTACAAATACATACTTTTAATAACAGCATAGGAGAATGCCTTTTTCCCCATACCTTCACCTTCACTGGCTACTGCTATTCATTTTTCAATCTTTTGTCAGTCTGGTAGGTGATAAATTAATTCTTTTATTTTAAACCCTTTCTTTCATAATAATATTTTTTATCATTTGCATTTTTTCTTTTACAGACTGAGTTTTTTAATATGTTATTTTCCACAAATACACTGTTGACTTTTTTTTTTTAATAGTATGAAGTATTCAGAACAGAAGAGGAAGAAAAAATAAAATCTCAGGGACAAGATGTTACATCATCAGTATATTTCATGAAGCAAACAATCAGCAATGCCTGTGGAACAATTGGACTGATTCATGCTATTGCAAACAATAAAGACAAGATGCACTTTGGTAAATGATTTTTCATTACTGCATTTTTTCCCCCTTAAGATACAAGTTAATTGCATTGAGCAGTAGGTGGTGCTCTAATTCTTTCTTCAAACTATAAAATAAAGCATTCCCTGCTTCCTTGATGATGGGAATGTATATACTGTTAGAAGAAATATTAATCCTTCTCATTCTTTTATATTGTTGACTAATAGGGGTTAAACAAATGGACAAATATTAATAATGTAAGGCTTATCATTTATAACATGATCCTTACATTTCTAACCTACCAATGAAAGAATTTAACCTGAAAAATAGTAGCATACTTCTAGTATTTTCATATATTGGTCTCTCTGCTGTATCAAGCCTTTTTAATTTTATCTTCTTTCATATTCTCAGAATCTGGATCAACCTTGAAAAAATTCCTGGAGGAATCTGTGTCAATGAGCCCTGAAGAACGAGCCAGATACCTGGAGAACTATGATGTCGGTACCTTCTTTCCGTTTTGATCTCATGTGGGCAAAAGTTTGTGGGATTGTAGATGTGTTTGGGGGTTTTGTCTTGAAACCATAGTTTTGAGCAATTATGGATTTTATTGTATCCATTAAGAAAAGCCTTTTGTACTTTTCAGATAACTTTGAAATATCCACAAATGCTGATAAGTTGCCATTTCTTTTCTATGTTCAGAGCTGACTGAATGGATAAAATCAGTTTGATTTACAAATTTTTTTTTTTTTTGATATGCAGTCTCGCTCTGCCGCCCAGGCTGGAGTGCAGTGATGCCATCTCTGCTCACTGCAACCTCTGCCTCCTGGGTTCAAGCAATTCTTGTGCCTCAGCCTCCCAAGTAGCTAGGATTTCAGGTGCGTGGCACCACACCTGGCTAATTTTTGTATTTTTAGTAGAGACAGGGTTTTGCCATGTTGGTCAGGCTGGTCTCGAACTCCTGGCCTCAAGCAGTCCCTCCACCTCGGCCTCCCAAAGTGCTGGGATTACAAACATGAGCCACCGTGCCTGGCCCTGATTTACAAATTAATAAAATATCTTATGATTGACTATTCCTTACTATTCCCTCCCTAAAATAAATAAATATATACCTGCCAGTACCCTGTGTATCTTTTATTGGGAATTTGGAACCAGGCTGAAGATGAAAGGAGAAAGCAAAGGTTTAAAGGTAGACATTAGACCATACTGTAGCTATTTCATCAGTGTAATAAAGGCCACATAAACTAGGCTATATATATAATATAGGTTATATTTAATTCAGATGATAGTGATTTTACCACTTCATATAACTGTTCTGAAATGGTTTTTAAAATTTATTGCTTTTGGAATCAATTTTTCTTTTGAAATCTTTTGACCTTTTAATAACATTATTAAATAGATTGTAAGTTCTTTGAAATTAGGCGTATAATCTACAAATTATTTGGTTAGAACAATGCCTTATGTAGAATTTGTGCCTGATAAATTAATTGGTTTGATTATGTTGTTATGCATTCCAATATACTTTGAGAATTTTAAATTGTTTTTTTCTTTAAAAAAAAACTGGAGACTTCATAAAACATCTTTATTATACATAAAAATAAACATGAAAATCAGTACTCTTACTAATGAGAGGTAGATAAACATTAATATTTTTTAGGGAGTGTATATATATATACACAATTTTTTAAACAAGAATTTGATCATACTGTAATACTGTTTTATAACTTGCTTTTTTCACTTATCAGAAACGTATTACATACCAGTAAGTATATATTTGATATTATTTAATGGCTGCATAGCTTTCCATTATGTAGTATTGTATTTCACCAATAAATTATTGTTAGAAATTTAATAGTTTTTCTTCTTTTTCACTATTTTAATAAATACTGCAAGGTACATCATTGTAGCTAAATCTTTGTAAATATCCTTAATTATATATAATTATGTACAATTATATGTAAATATATAAACTCCTAGAAGAGAAGTTGCTGGATAAAATAGTTTGCATGTTTTTAAGGCTTGGATATTTATTTATTGCCAAATTGCTATTTATAAAGATTGTACTTTCACCTGTAATTTACTATTGTGCCCATTTCTCTGGATGTTTGCAAATAGTGGGTACTATAAGAGTGGTTTTTTTTTAGTTCAGGAAACTAAATTCTGTAGCTTCTGATAAATGCATGAGTTGTGCTCCACATTTCTCAATTGCTGACTGAAACTGCATGATTAAACATAAATACAGCCAGAGCTGCAGAGGAGCATGGAACCTGGAGAAACAGATGAGATAAGCTTCTTTAGTCTCTATCTGTGAAATGCTTACTTTATTCTAGTCTCAATTGAATAAAGTGTTAAGTGTTAGTTCTAACAACTGAATAAGTTAAATGGCCCCTACTTAGAGCCTGGAAATTACAAATAATCAGATATTCAATTTCCTAAGTTTTCAGAGATTTACGGGTTACACAGTACAGCAATTCATTTGATTACCCAGATATCATTCTTAAATATCTAGTACTAAGCTTTTCTTAAATTTCCTTCAATTTGTTGTTTCTTTAGAAGACTTTAGGTGTTAAAATTTAGCTTTGTTGTCTTCATTTAAAAAGTTGAGTATAGGCATTTTTTCCAATGAATACCTTTATTCTTATTACAGGCCATCCGAGTTACTCATGAGACCAGTGCCCATGAAGGTCAGACTGAGGTATTTCACATTTTTTCTAAATTTTTCTTGCTATAAATTTAACCATATAAATTTCTTGCTGTAAATTTAACCATAGTATTATTGTAGGACATAAAGTTTTAGAAAGTTACTTGGCTTTTTGTTTTTTCCTTTGAGAGAATTTGCTTAAGCAAAAGCAGTCATAAAGTAGCAAAAGGACATGTTTTGACAAGCTGTTAAGATGCTGCTGTCTGCTGTTTCAGTTCATCTAATCATTTAGAGATAATGCAGATTGTGTGCTGTTTGTGCGGCTTGGTGGCCTGTGTCTTCCCTATCAGATTCCTGTGAGGTCCAACTATTTTGAGAAAAATACCTGCACTGTTGTACAGTTAAATAGCCTGTGTCTTTATTGTGTCCTGCTTCCAGCAGAAAACCACATCATTTTCTTTGCTCAATAAATTTGTTTCAGGGTAATGTAATGATCTTTACCATCTTTACCCTGTTAGCTAGTTCAGCTGGGTTGCTTTTCCTTTCCTTCTCTTGCCTCTTTTTTCATTTTTTGGTTTCTTCATTTTTCCTTCCATCTTTTCTTTCTTTCTTTCCTTCCCCCCAGCCCTGACTGTATCACTCTAAGAGGAAGTTTGTCAGAAGGTATTTTAGTCAAAAAGAATTTAACTAAAGCTGTTTGGTATGTTTATATCACATTTAAGGGTTAATACCAGAGAATTAGAGGTTTTCTTCTTTCTTATCCCATATGTGACTTGAAACCACACTTTTTTTTGTTTTTTTTGAGACAGAGTCTTGCTCAGTTGCCCAGGCTGGAGTGCAGTGGCTGATCTTGGCTTACTGCAAGCTCCGCCTCCCGGGTCACTCCATTCTCCTGCCTCAGCCTCCCGAGTCGCTGGAACTACAGGCGCCCGCCACCATGCCTGGCTAATTTTTTTGTATTTTTAGTAGAGACGGGGTTTCCCCGTGTTAGCCAGGATGGTCTCGATCTCCTGACCTTGTGATCCACCTGTCTCAGCCTCCCATAGTGCTGGGATTACAGGCGTGAGCCACCTCGCCCAGCCGAAACCACACTTTTTCATGTAAAAGATGACATTGCCTTTATACTTAAAAAAACTTGAAAAGAATACTTGATTTAAAAATCATTGATTTTGGCTGAGCATGCTGACTCACACCTGTGCAGTCCCAGTGCTTTGGAAAGTTAAAGCAGAAGGATCGCTTGAGGCCAGGAGTTTGAGACCATCCTGGGCAACATAGCAAGACTCTGTCTCTACAAAGAGTAATAAAAATTAGCCAGGTGTGGTGGTGCATGCACCTGTAGCACTAGCTACTAGGGAGGCTGAGGTGGGAGGATTACTTGAGCTCAGGACTTCGAGGTTATAGTGACCTATGATTGCACCATTACACTCCAGCATGGGGGACAGAGCAGGACCCTGTCTCTATAAAATATATATATATATTGGTTGCTCTAGGCGCTGCTTTCAAAGGTGTGGATTATTGTTTTTGACTAAGTTTATCCATACACAGACACATAAGAGGCCCGTCTAAAAGTTTTTAACACCAGATTGGAAATTAATGAAATGCTGTTTTGTATTGCTTTATATGATCCTGAACATATTCATAATCTTCACTATGCTTTGATTTTTTGTTTGCAAATTTATAGTGTTAAAATTGGTGATGATGAGGATCAGCGTAAGTTTATTGTTAAGATATGAAGACAGTTACTTGTAATAAAGCAATTAAATGCTTTAATACATATTCACTACAAAAAATATTTATTTTTGCCATACTTCTCTTGCCCCATTTTTGGAGTTTCATCCAAATTATGGATTTACATTTAAACTTCTTTTTAAATGATCTTCATGTCTCTTTTTTCAGACCTAACCGCCTTCATTCTTTCCAGTCTTGGATGCCTGTTAGACATCATCTGAATGACCTCACTGTATTTTAGAATGCATTTTTATTTGTTTGAGCTTATTATCTATGTCTTAAACTTTTTCTTCCCTTTATTGTTTCTGTTTCTTACAATAGTTCCACCATACTTTTTCCCACTGTAACTATCTAGGACAAATTCATTAACTTCTGGTTTAGAAGATCTGCTTTTTATGCAGATTCTCAGTTTTTATTCCAGTTCTCATTCATTTTCACACACTTCTGCTGGATTCCCTTTCCTGAAATGTACCTGAATCAGTTGGCTGCTAAAATTTTTCTAGGGGTTTCCTAGTGTGTAGAGCAGTGATTCTCAAGATGGAGTGCAGATAGAAGTTAGGATTTTCTGGAGGGCTTTTTTACACTGCTGTGTACTCCCATAAGAATTAATCTTTTCTGCTCCTTTCCCATCTCCCACAGTTTAGAAACACTACTGGAGTGAGCAATATTTTTTATGTATATTATAACCCTAAAATGTGTTGGAGTGAAAAAAAAAATGTTTGAGAATGATTCCTCAAGCCTGTGCAGTCAGTTTCAGGCTCTTTAACCCAGCTGTATTCAAAGTTTTCCTAACCCTGTCTTGTCTTGTCTTGTCTTGTCTTGTCTTGTCTTGTCTTGTCTTGTCTTTACTTTTCCTTCCTTCCTTCCTTCCTTTCTTTCCTTCCTTTTCTTTAACTTGTCTTTCTAACTTTAATTATTTCTTTTTAGCCATCCCTTATTTCCTTATTTTATTATTTCTATTCTTCTTGCAGTACTCTCTTTCTGAAAATATTCTTTCCCTCAATCTCTTGCACTTCTTCTATCCATTCTTCAAGACTCAGCTTAGTACGATCTTCAGAATGAAGCAGTTCCTGATTATCAGAACTGGTTATATTTTATCATTTATATGAACTCTTTATATGACTACTCCAACTATTTGCATTTTAGCTATTTCATATTCTCTTTCATTTTTTAAGATGTACTTTTTTTCACATTTTAAAAACTCTAAAATTAGGATGTATCTTACAGTTGATGTCATAGTTTACTTGGCGTTATTCCCATCTTAGTGGTTCACAAAATGGTGTGTCATGGAACCAATGGCGCCTTAGTGTGATGAAGTATGGTATCTTATCTCCCTTTCTGTGGCTCTTAGGCCTAGCATTGGCATCTGATTCATTTGTGCATGTTCCAAATTATCCAATACTGTTCCTTACACATAAGTACAACATATGTGTATTAATTAACCAGAATTAGCTCAGAACTGTCCTTGGTAGTGTAAGAAATAAAAAAAAGTAGGGGGTTAGGGGTGGCAAATCTTAGTTTTCTGTAGTCCCCCGAGTAAACAAAACATATCCATTAGCCATTGTTTCCAAATAGGACAGCATTAACATTTTGGAAAGGGTTCAATTCTTTTTTGTGCGGGACTGTTTTGTGCACTCCAGGGTGGAATATACTGACCTCTAGTTGCCATATGTTAGTGTCTCCCAGTTGCTGAGAGAACAAAAATCTGTATGTTTCAAAATCCAGTTGCCATCTGGCTTTAAATCCCTGCTTCAGGGACTTTTAATATTTTTCTGATCATCTCATTTAAGATTCATCTCCCTGCCGGGCATGGGGGCTCACGCCTGTAATCCCAGCACTTTGGGAGGCCAAGGCAGGCGGATCACCTGAGTTCAGGAGCTCAAGACTAGCCTGGCCAACATGGTGAACCCCGTCTCTACTAAAAATACAAAAATCAGCTGGGCGTGGTGGCATGTGCCTGTAATCCCAGCTATTTGGGAGGCTGAGGCGGGAGAATCGCTTGAACTCGGGAGGCGGAGGTTGCAGTGAGCCGATATCCCACCACTGCACTTCAGGCTGGGCAACAAGAGCGAGACTCTGTCTCAGAAAAAAAAAAAAAAAAAAGATTCATCTCTCATCTATGGGCTTAAGAGTGTTCGGTGTATTATTATCTCCATTGCTGTTTGTATTCCAGCCTACTGATTTTTTTGTCAGTTCCTACAAAATACATAGGTCTTTGCTGTCTGTATTAGTTTGCTTGGGCATTCATCACAAATTGTTACCAGGTGCCTTTAACAACAGAAATTTATTATTACACAGTTCTTGGGGCTGGAAATCCAACAGCAAAGTGTCAGCAGGGTTGGCTTCTACTGAGATGTCCCTTCCTGGCTTGTAGACTACCACCTTCTCACTGTAGCCTTACCTGGCCTGTCCTGTGTATTCATATGGAGGGGGTGTGGAGAGAGACGGGGAGAGAGAGATCAATTGATCTGATGTCTCTTCCTGTTCTTATAAGGATACCAGTCCTGTTGGATTAGTGCCCCATTCTTATAACCTTAGTTAACATTAACTACTTCCTTCAATGCCAAGTTTTCAAATATAGTCACGTTGAAGGTTAGGGCTTCAACGTATGAATTTGGCAGGGGGGACACAATTCAGTCCATAACACCGTCTTTGTGCTTTCTAACAACCCAGTACACTTCCGGGTATACCGCTGCTCTTTGCAGAGTTGGAGACTTCTCATCTTTCAGGTCTCACCTTAAAAGTCACTTTTCAGGCTGGGCGCGGTGGCTCACGCCTGTAATCCCAGTACTTTGGGAGGCCGAGGCGGGCAGATCACAAGGTCAGGAGATCGAGGCCATCCTGGCTAACACAGTGAAACCCCGTATCTACTAAAAATACAAAAAAACTAGCCAGGTGTGGTGGCGGGTGCCTGTAGTCCCAGCTACTCGGGAGGCTGAGGCAGGAGAATGGCGTGAACCTGGGAGGCGGAGCTTGCAGTGAGCCGAGATTGTGCCACTGTACTCCAGCCTGGGCAACAGAAGGAGACTCCATCTCAAAAAAAAAAAATGTCACTTTTCAGAGAAGCCTTCTTTCATCACTGTTAAGTAGGTCCTTCTGTATTTTTTTTTATGATAAAATCCTGTTTATTTTCTTCCTGGCACTTTAAAATAGTCAATAATAAGTTTTTTCTTCCTTGTGTATATTTGTTTATTCTGCTAACTAGAATGTAGGTCCCATGAGGAAATAGGCCTTGTTTGTCTTGTTCGCTTTGAATCCCCAAGACAAACTGGACATATATAGGCATGTATAAGAATTACATAGTTTGAAGGTAAGAGCACAGGATATAGGTTTGTATACTGACTCCACTGCTTATTAGCTTAGGCAGGATACTTTCTTCAGCACAAAATAGAAATAATGGCATTTACCTTATGGGATTGTTGTGAAGACTAATGAGTTAATTATATAAACTGCTTAGAATAGTACCTGGCATTTAATGGGCATTCAATAAATATTAGGCGGTAATTTTATTTTACTAGGCATCCAGTAAAATGAATCTGAATGGCAGAAGATGAGGCTGAAGTAATAGGGTGAAGCCATATCTGGGGGGCTTGGATTTTATAGATGGAGAACCACCAAAGATGGTACATTTACTTTTCAGCCTACTGAGTTTAAGGTGAGTTTTTTTGGGTCATATGTGTAGGAGTCTAGAGCTCAGGCGAGATATCTGGAGTCTTTGGTATTTGGGTAGTAGTTAGAACCCTGAGAATTCTACAGAGGGAGAATAGTGGTAGACCAACAATAAATCCTTGGGGCATGTAGGTGTTGAAAGAGTGGGTAGAGGAAGAGGAGCCAATAATAATATAGTGTAATAACAAGTAGCTTCATCACTGGCATCACTGGTACTCTCTATCAGAACGTTTTCATGGGAATGGAGGAGGCAGGAGCCTTATTGCATGCTGAGATTTGTAGACTAAATGAAAAATCTGTAAGTTGAGTCACCAAAATACAGTAGTCTTTTTCAGAAGATTGGCCATAGCATACTGCTCTAGAGTAATTGTTTACCTACTTTTCTCCATCCCACCGTGATTGTCTGGTAGATCAGCTAATACAGAAATCTGAACAGTAGCCCCACCTCACTTATGCTTCATTAACTTACACTGAAAGGTATTGCTTTCATCTTTCGCTTAAGATTAAAAACATAAAAGAAGAATGGGATATGAGGAAACAATGAGGAAATTAAATTATTAGTGGCAGAGAGTGTTTTCTTTTTTTCCATTGATTTTCCACTTGCTACAACCACCATTTTGTACTTTATTCTAGATAGAATAAAATAGTGTTATTAGAGTTGCTACAGAAGTTTGATATGTGTCATTTAATTCCAGTACCAGCCCTATGAGGTATTACCATTGTCCTCATCCCCCTTCTATAGATGAGGCAATTGAGGCACAGAAGGTTTTAGTTACTTGCCCCAAGGTCACATATCTGCTAAGTGTAGAGCTGGAATTTGAGCTGAAACCGTCTGGCTGCAGAATCTAGTCCTAGTTCCTCTGTCCTCCTCCTGTCACCCCCACCTTCAAACAAACACTTTCTTTCTTTTTTGTTTTTTGAGACGTAGTCTTGCTCTGTCACCCAGGCTGGAGTGCAGTGGCATGATCTCGGCTCACTGCAACCTCTGCCTCCCTGGTTCAAGCGATTCCCCTGCCTCAGCCTCCCAAGTAGCTGGGACTACAGGTGTGTGCCACCACACCCAGCTAATTTTTATATTTTTAGTAGAGACGGGGTTTTGCCATGTTGGCTAGGCTGATTTTGAGTTCCTGGCTTCAGGTGATCTGACTACCTCGGCCTCCCAAAGTGCTGGCATTACAGGTGTGAGCCACCGCCCCAGCCAAACACTTTCAATAAAAGTTTGACAGCTAATTTTGTAGCAGTTCTGTTAAGACCAGTGTTTTATATTAGGCTTAATGTGACTATTTATATCCTAGCTTGGGATAGGAAACAGATTGTGTGAGAAATAGTAAATTGATAGCTTTTCAGTTACTCCTGAATTTTATTTCTTTTTTCTTTTTCATTATTATTATTTTTCTGATGTGAAGTCTCGCTCTGTCTCCCAGGCTGGAGTGTAGTGGCGCAATCTCTGCTCACTGCAACGTCTGCCTCCCAGGTTCAAGCAATTCTCCTGCCTCAGCCTCTCAAGTAGCTGGGACTACAGGCACGTGCCACCACACCCGGCTAATTTTTTGTATTTTTAGTAGAGACAGGGTTTCACAGTGTTAGCCAGGATGGTCTCAATCTCCTGACCTCGTGCCTCAGCCTCCCAAGTAGCTGGGACTACAGGCGCGTGCCACCACACCCAGCTAATTTTTTGTGTTTTTAGTAGAGACAGGGTTTCACAGTGTTAGCAAGGATGGTCTCGATCTCCTGACCTCGTGATCCACCCGCCTCAGCCTCCCAAAGTGTTGAGATTACAGTCATGAGCCACCGCTCCTGGCCCTGAATTTTATTTCTTTAAAGTGGGTTCATGATTGAGTTTTGAAGCACTGTGTTACAAAAATTAATAATAGACATATAAAGCTAAGCTTTCAATTGACTAATGTGTTGGTTGTGTGTGTTATTGTAATGTGTAGCCCTAAATGAAATACGGTTGAATGTTCTACTAGAAAAATAGTTACTGATTTTAAAATTAATATAACCTGATATATACGTGCCCAGTTAAGAAATTTAAAAATGAATGTATACAGTTGGCCCGCTGTAATGGTGGGTTCCTTACTTGTGGATTCAACCAACCACTTAATGAAAATATTTGAGGCTGGGCATGGTAGCTCATGCCAGTAATGCCAGCACTTTGGGAGGCCAAGAAGGGAGGATCGCTTGAGGCCAGGAGTTTGAGACCAGCCTGGGCAACATAGTGAGACCCTGTATGTACAAAAAAATTAGCCAGATGTGGTGGCATGCACCTGTAGTTCCAGCTACTCTGTAGTTGGGAGGCTGAGATAGGAGGATGGCTTCAGCTCAGGAGGTCAAGACTGCAGTGAGCTGTGATCATGCTGCTGCACTCCAGCCTGGGTGACAGAGACCTTGTCTCAGACAAAAAAGAGAAAAAATATTTGGAAAAAAAAGATGGTTGTGTCTGTACTGAATATATACAGACTTTTTTCTTGTCATTATTCTCTAAACAATATAGTATAACAACAATTTTTATAACATTTACATTGTATTAGGTATTACAAGTAATCTAGAGATGATTTAAAGTATACAGGAGGAGGTACATAGGTTATATGCAAATACAACACTATTTTATATAAGGCTTGTGAGCATCTGTGGATTTTGGTGTCTTCAGGGGGGTCCTGAAACCAATAGTCCGTGGATATCGAGGGATGACTGTGTATTCACTCCAACTGAGACCTTTCTGAATAACTGTAGAATAGTAAGATTGGCAGGAAGTTCCAATTTCATATGGTTTGGGCTTCCACTAAAGTGTCTAGTAGATTAGAAGATCTCCTTATTTTAAGGCTTTTCTATTCACAAAAGATTCTAATAAGTGTTTTTAAAATTGTGAAGAAATATCAGTGATGTAATAGTGGAAACAGTCTGCAAGTCAAATGTGAAGCCAAGAAAGAAAAATCCAAAAGGGTATTTTATTTGCCTTCAGACCCTACTTTTACTTCATTGCCACTTAACTAAAAAGTAATTCCTAAAATTTGTGATTTGTCCATATTAATTGAGGAGCCAGCCCAGATATGGGTAGAGATCACCTTATGATTTATTGTTTAACTTTTTAAGTTTGTTGTACTGCCCAGAACCCCCCCATGTAAATTAATAATAATAATGAAAAATAACAGCAGTATTGTTTTCTGTTTTTAAATAAACATACCAGTATGGAAAAAATAGCAAAAGACACTTTTTGCATCTATGTATATTTGCTACCATTCTTTTTTTAGTACATTTTAAGAACAGTTGAGATCAAGCGATTTTATTTGACTTTTTTCTTAACATATTACCATGAACATTTTTTTTGTTTCATCAAAATTTCCTCATTAAAAAAACCTTTGCTACTGTATACTATCATGTGAGTAAACCACAATTTATTTTTCATTTCCTTAACTTTTGATGTTTAGATTATTTTTAGTTTCTCAAGTTAAAAATATAACTTAATTGAATATCCCTGTTATCTAAGTATTCTTTTGGGTAGCTTCTTGTAGGTGGGATTACTGATTCAAAGGGATAAATATTTTTATGATTCTTGTTAAATAATGTGAAGTTGTCTTTCTTTCATTTGTTCAATCAGATAACCTGTTTGAGCACCTACTGTACTAGGCACTGTGCTTATAATTGTACATACAAAGATAAGTGAGACATAATTTGTGTCTTCAAAGATCTTTTACTTCAGTGGTGACTGCAGCTTTGAAAATCGCTTGCCAGTATTGAATTCCATTTCTAAATTTTTGCTTGTTTAATAGGGGGAAATAACATGTTTGATTGCTAATGATACTTAAAAGATCTTTAGTAAAAGTTTTTGAAGTTAATTTAAATCATAAAATATGTAATTAATTTACAATGAAATATTAATATGTAATCTATTTTGGTTAGTGTTGACCTATAAAAGAGGGATTATTTGACCACTGGGGTAAACAGTGCATAATTTCTGATTTCAAGTATGTCATCATAAATATATATACATAATTAAAGATACATGTGTGTGTTTGTGTGGGTGTGTATATTTTTAATTTAAGAAAATCCTCTGTTTAGAATCTACTGGGCTTTTTTGGCCCAGCCAGTACAGACTGTCAGTGGCAGTAAATAGTATAAAGTTTCATCTTCATTAGATGTATATGTATAGTTGCATGGCTTCATTTTACTCTGAAGTATAGTTTTTAGTTATTTTTATTATTTTGGGATTACAAAGAGATAACAGAAATCATTCCAATAAGCCAAAAATGATTTACGCACAAATTGAGGTGCTCACATATTTATTTCCCTCCTTTTGGAATTTATTTCCTCTTCCTTCATTTTGAAAGAATCTGAGGATATTAGGAAGAAGCTTAGTTCTTAAATAATATAAAATTTAAGTTGCCGATTATCTTGTAAGAATCAGGCGGAAACAATACATGTATCATGCGGTTCAAGATGTAGAGTCCAGTTTTGTCAAAAGTCTGAAACTGCAACTTTCTGATCTTTGTTTTTCTTTACTTTTCATACCTCATTTTCTTTATTTCAACATGACTTAATCTTTTGGAGGCGATTTTATTTTATTTTATTTTTAAAACCAAAAATGCTCTGGGACTCCCTAGCTTGTCTCTGTCTCTCTTCTATCTTTTTTTGTTTCTTCTGAACATTGCTTGAATAGAGGCCTTCCCTTTCCCCTTTTCTCTCCCTCCGTCTGTCTTCCCTTCTTTTTTTCCTCTCCATTTCTCTCCTTTCCTCCCCCCTTCTTTCTTCTTTTCTGATCTCAGAATTTTAGAAATGGAGATATTAAATTATTACTTATTTTAAAGGAAAATTCTTAGACCGAACTTACCAGTTCACACTTCCAGATCTGACTAGATGAAACTCGTCTAAGAATGCTTTCAGCAATAAAAATAGAACTGATGTTGTGTTTGGTGATGGTGAAAGTTTTCTGTTAGTTTTGTTTTATATCACAACTTTCCAGAGTAGAGGGTAATGTTAGGATATAAGATTTTTTTGATTTGTAATAAAGGAGAACTTTATTTGGGGCTACTCTCAAACTGTAAAGAAAATAATTTCTGGGAATTAGTTTGAGAAGTTTAACAATGGTAAGCTTAGGTTTAATGTAACATTTAGATGTACAGGTATTATATTAATAGATATTTCTAACATGGAGAATTATAAACTGAAGGGAGAGAAAACATAATTGTTAAACCAGTCAGGGAAAAAAGTCTTTTTAGAATATCTTGATGTCTGTGGGCATCTTGATTTATTAGGTGAGCAAAATGAAGAAACTTACCATTATCCAGATTTTCCATGGAATATGTAGTGGTATTTTGTGTATTTTGATATCTATCCCATATTTAACTTGTGACTTCTTTGCCAACCGAACATGGATACTCTGTAGGAAACTTTGCATCTTTTGTATGGATCTGGCTTTAATTTCCTTTTTAAAATTTGAACCTTAAATTTACTGTAATCCAATGTATTACACTGAAATTTACTAAAAAATCTACAGAAATCCATTTAGAATTAATTTATAATTTTGATTTTAAACTCATAAAGTTATACATGTATGTGTTCTCATGCATGCGCACACACATGTCCTTACACATATGTGTACACACATTTATAATCTAATTTTCAAAGCATTTGGTAGCTCTAGAGATGTTCCCAATTATTTTCTTTTCCATGTGCCATATTTTAGACTCAGCGGTCTTGTCCTCTCCCTCTCCCTCTCCTCAAAATTGTTCGAGGTGCTCACCAGCTTTCAAGTATTCTCACCTTCTTAATTCTTACTCCTTTTGAAAGTATGTCTACCATATTATTATAATGATGGTTACCATTTTCTGAATTCATGTTATGGGGCAGGCTAACTAAGTGCTGTATCTACCCTAGTTTGATCCTCTCAACTCCGTAAGATAGCTGTTACCCCATTTTGCAGATGGGAAATCTAAGAAGCTGCTAATATATTCAAGGTCACACAGCTAGTAGGTACTCCTGTGCTCTTAAGGCAACAAAACGTGTAGGTAATACAAATTGCTGAAACTAAATAAAATGAGGTTTTTAAAATTTGAATTTCTGTTTTTGCCTTAAAAGCAAGGCTATTCACAGCTAGTAATTTAAGGCAAATATGTAATAAGTTACAAATAGTCATTCAGAGTTGTGCCGAATACTTTGTTCTTTTTTGCCGTTAACATCTAAGTCAGTTCTTATTCAGTACACTAGATTTTTTTTTCCTATTAACCGGAAATCTTACCCATAAACCAGCCACAGTCTTTTGGTAATCATGTTAGGTATATTTTAGAAAACAGTAATTATTTTAACTATCTACCCACTAATGATCCCTTCATGTTCAAGAAATTACATGGTTATAAGGATATTTTTCATAATAATAGTATGTCCATTTAAATGAGAAAATGCTTTGGCTGTAAACCAAAACCCACTTACTTTATTTTAGAATTTTAACATAATTTAGATTTAAGCACTTGGAGTACCCACCAAACTAAACACTTGATTTCTTTTTTTTTTTTTTTTCCTTGAGACAGGGTCCCATTCTGTTGCTCAGGCGGCAGTGCAGTGGGTCGATCTTGGCTCCCTGTAGCCTTGATCTCCTGGGCTCAAACCATCCTTCCACCTCAGCCTCCCAAGTAGCTGAGACCACAGGCATGTACCATCACACCTGGCTAATTTTTTTTTTTTTTTTTTTTTTAGTAGGGTGGGGTCTCCCTATGTTACCCAGGCTGGTCTTGAACTCCTGGGCTCAAGTGATCTTTCTGCCCTGGCCTCCCAAAGTATTGGGATTACAGGTGTGAGCCACTAACAAAACACTTGACTTCTTCTTAGGCAGACCCTCTGCTTTGTTTGATTTTTTTTTTTTTTTTAAGTCTGGATCATTTCTTTTTAGCCTTTACAGCATTTCAAATACGTTGGTTATTTTATTTAAAAGTTTAAAGAGTAATTTATTCATTTTTTGCTGTATAAAAAAGTGCATGCACACTAACTGTGAAGGAAAAGTAATTTGGCCTTTGAGGACGTAGGTGGTGATTGTTGTTGTTTTTTGAACTGGTTTTAAGTTTGACAACCAGAAGATAGATTTGGATTATATTCAGGAATTCAGATAGAAATAGTAATAGATGTGCCCTTATGAATCAGTCAAATTAGTTGACAGTTGATGGGCGAGTGACCTTGCAATGGAAAACACTGAAATTGGAGCTGGGAGTCATGAGTCTGCCTCTGGCTTTCACACTCACTAGTTATGTGGCTTTGGGCAAGTCAAGTAGGTCCTTGTGCTTCTGAAAAAACCAAAACTGTCATGCTTATGGTCTGTATTCTCATAGCTCACTTTCTCTGTGTGTGTAAGTGAATGTGTGTGTGTGTTTAAACTCAGAGGATTTAAATCAGAATTAATGCTTAAAAATCTCATGCAACAATTACTTATTAAATATCTTGGCATTCTTCCTGAAGAGTAAAACATTTAATCTGCATTTTAAAATTCCTCAGGTTTCTGAAAAGCCTAGTCTAGGTTTTTTTGAACTATAATGAAGAGATGAGTTTATATTTCATGTAAAGTGGTGTATCTACAGTCACATTATACTGTTGCAGTGCCCACATAGTCAGCAGTGAGGGCACAGGTTCACTGTTAATGTCCTGGCAAACATTGGTGTCGTTAATAGTTTTGATGAAATAAATAATTGTTAGTGATTTTGGACTCTTCACCAGAATGAAAAAACTGAGGAAGTGAGTTCTTTATTCAGACTATCTAAAAAGTGAACTCTCTTTAAGACTTTTATGAAAGATTCAAAAATAAACTGTAGACATTTAATCTTTTCCAATTAGTATGGAAGACAATGTGAAAAATTAGCCATCTAGCTCAAGATTCAGCTCACAGTTTAAATTTTCATATTTGAAAGCAGAGCTAAAAATTAGGTTGCTTTAACAATTGCATTAACAGTTAATATTATAAGGATTTAAAAGTTGGTGTATGTATCTTTAATCTTTGTAATTCTAAGAGGAAAGCCTGTGAATTTTACGTTTCCATAATAGCACACTTTATTTCAAAGTCCTTCCATCTCTTGAAATGTTATTGCTTGAAAGTCTTTTTCTGAATTAGATCAACTCTTTGAAATTGAAAATATATATGATGTACACTGTTATGTCTATATTATGCATTATCTCTGGAAATTATACAGTTGGAGATATTTGTATAGTGCGTTCATTTAGCATGAGGAGGTAAAAATAAGTCTGACTAGAGTAAAAATTTAGAATTATTGATTCTAATGTTTTAACATTTTGACATACTTGTTAGAAACAATCTTTAGTATGCTATCATAGGAGCAGTAAGGTAGTAGACAAAAGCTTTGCCTGCCCCCAGGCCTTACAAAGTAGTTTAAAAATAAACAATTACAATATATTGATATGCTATCCTATTTTGAATGTTGTAAAACATTAGTCACATACAAACACACACACCCACAAGCTTTGACATATGGGACTCATTTAACAGAGTGTACTTTTAGACTCATTATCCTTTTCTTATTCCTTCCTCTGTTATATAAGTTTTTATTAGAAAACATGATGCTCAAAAAGAAGGCTAAAATTACTAGTGTGATAACATTTGGGGAAAATTATTCTTTGTCTTTAAAATAGAAATAATTATAATATGTACCTTATAGGATTATTGTGAAGATCTGTAGCATCTATAGTTTAGAACATCTGGTAAAAGATAGTAAGCACTTGATATTAGCTATTATGGTTGTTGTTTTATAACATCATTTTGGATACCAATATTATTACTGTTGACTGATGCATATATAGATACTTGTGTGCACATTTTCACTAAAGCGTAATTGTAGAAAACCAGAAACAAACTAAAGGTGCAGTATTACATTTATGGTATGTCTATTTAAGGAATAATATGTTGCCATGAAAAATGATGTAGAGATATACTTACTGAGATGAATAGAAGCCCAAAATTTATGGGTAATGAAACAAAATAGCTAAAAATTTTAACAAATTGCTTAAGGTCAAAAGTAGGCTACCATAAGACTATAAAATTCCTGTAAACAGCCCTGAAGGGAGAGCTCATATCCACTCTCTGCAGACCTCAATGGGTGCTCATGAGATTAAGTGGGGACAAGATGGGAGAGAATCTTTAAGTGCAGGCCTAGGGGAGGAGAGCAGTTGCTGCTGTGGGAAAGGCGTGAAGCCTGGATTCTTCTCTCCTGTAGAACAAAGCCTAAAGACCTTGAGACAGAAAACCTTTCCTGGGGAAGGGAAGAGATAAAACCACCCCTTTTGCGGGAGGGGCAGGTTCTTCTACCACTGGAGGAAAAGACCCCTGAGAAAGTCTTGTCCTTGATATCCAGGGACAGAGGCTGATCTACAACAACAAAGAATGCCTCCACAAGCCCACCATTAGACTAGCAAGCACCAAGAAACAGGTCTCAAATGTGTGGGGATGGGTCAATAATATGGAGAGAGACCTTCTCTGAGGCATAGCCTCTGAGCAAAAGCCTAAAGCTGAGAGTGGAACAAGAGCATTGAAAAAGAAAACATCCTACAACCCAACTTCCACTCTAAGCACAAGGTTATGCCAGATAAATTTTAAACCAATGGTATTCTCAAGGTAATCATAGCAACAATAAAACCCAAACAGTAAACTCTTGACTAGGTTGGCTTATCCCCATACACTAAGTTGTAGCAGAAGATGAGACACGCCCATTTTTAGGCATACATATTATTTATCACAGTCTCTATACTCCTAGAGAAGGTGTCTGGCTTTTAACCAAAAGCATTCAGCAGAGCTAGACTCATATATGATCTAGATGTCAAACTATCAGACAGGGAATTTAAAATAATTAAATGCTCAAGTGGAAAAGATGGAAAACATGTTCTATCACATGGGTAATATCAGCAGAATTGGAAACTATTAACATAAGAAAGAATCAAATGGAAATGCCAGTAATGAAAAATACGGTACTAGAGATGAAGAATGCCATTAACAGATTCACCAGTAGACTCAACAAAGTTGAGAAAAGAATCGGTGAATGTGAAGATAAATCACTGGAAATTACCCAAACTTACTCACAAAGGGGAAAAAAATAGTGGAAAAGAGGGGGAAAAACCACACAAAACAAACAGTGCATCCAACAGCTGTGGGACAATTTCAAGTGATGTAATATGTGAAAATGGAATCCCAGAAGGAGAAGAGAGATGGAAAGATATGATGGGGGTGGGAGTGGGTGAGGGGTGGGGTCTTGAGACAAAAAGTATTTGAAGGGTAATGGCCAACTATTTTCCAAAAATAATTACAGACATCAAACCACAGCTTCAGGAATCTCAGAGACACTAGGTAGGATGAATACCCTTATCCTCCAAAAAACAAACACACATATATACCTACTGAGATACATTAAAATTCAAAGATAAATGGAAAATGTTGCTGAAGAACAAAGATAAATGGAAAATGTTCAAGGCAGCCACATGAAAAAGACAGAGTAGATACTAAGAATTCATAAGAATTACAGCAGACTCCTTACTAGAGGTTATGCAAGCCAGAACACATAGAATGATATTTTTAGAAAGCTGAGTTCAGTGGAACAAAATATCTTTTAAAAATAAAAACTTTGAGACAGACAAAAACTGAGAGAGCTCATACCAGCTTACTTACACTACAAGAAATGTAAAGGAATTTCATTATGCTGAAACAGTACAATGCCAGACAGAAACTTGGAGCTATACAAAGATTTAGGAAGCATTGAAAATGGAACAAATGAAGGTAAATATAAAATAAATTTTATTCTTGTTTTACATTTCAGTAAAAGATGATTAGGATTACTAAATCAAAGATAGCAACTATGTACTATAAATTTATAGCACATATAAAAATAAAATAAGACAATAGCACAAAGGGAGGGAGGGAGAAATTGGGATAATACTGTTGTGAGGTTCTTATACTACATATGTAGTGGTGTAATACTGTTTGAAGGTACTCCGTAACTAAAGATATATCTTGTAAATCCTCAGGCAATTACTGAAAAGCTTAAAAAGTATAAACAAGAAGCCCACAGTACAGATAAAATAGAATAATAAAAATAATGCAAAAAGCAGAAAAGTAACAGAGCAGATGGAAAAAATAAAGAACTGACAATGTAGATTTAAATCCAGCCATATAAAACATCACATGAAGTTAATGAAATGTCAGTATAAAGACTCAAATGTCTATAAACCCTCAAATTGAAAGAAAGATCAGTTTAGTAAAAAAGCAAGACACAATTATATGCTGTTTACAAGAAAGTCATTTTAAAAAACGTAAGAAGATAACAATCAAAAGGATGGGAAAAGATGAACTATACAAACACTAACCAAAAGAAAGCTAGAGTAGTTATATTGACATGAAGTTAAGTAGACTTCAGAACAAGAAATATTCCCAGTGTTGAAGAAGGACATTACATAAGGATAAAGAGGTTATCTCACCAAGAAGACATAGCATACACGTAACAGAAAGTATGTGTATGCAGCTAACAATTAGAGCCTCTAAATGTATGAGGCAAACACTGTTAGAACTGAAAAGAGAAATAGACAAATTCACAATTATAGTTGGAGATGTCAACACTCAGAATCAATAAAAAGATACAGAACATTACTAAAAAATTGAAGATTTGAACAACATTGTCAAACAACTTGACCCTTTTGATATTTGTGGAACACTTCAGAAATTTGGAATACAACAGTTGAATATACAGTCTTCTCAAGTGCACATGGGTTAGTTACCAGGATAGACCATATTCTGGATTAAAAAATCAACCTTAAATTTTTTTAAAAAATTTAATTTATACAAAGAATGTTTTCTATTCATAGTGGAGTTAAACTACAAATCAACAATAGAAAAATATCTGGAAAATCCCCCAAATATTTAGATATTCAATAGTACACTTCTAAATAATTCATGGATCAAAGAGGAATCACAAGAGAAATTAGAAAACATTTTGAATTGATTGAAAAGAAATATACCAAAATTGACAGGATACAGCTAATGCAGGGGTTGGAGAGAAATCTATAGCATGAAATGCTTATAGTAGAAAAAAACAAACAAACAGAGGTTAGAGGGAAACTATAGTATTACATGCTTATAGTAGAAAAGGGAAATGGCTTCAAGTCAGAGATCTAAGTTTTTACCTTAAGGTAGCAAAAAAAAAAAAAAAAAAGAGCAAATTAAATCCAAAATGCATAAAAGGTAGAAATAACAAAGGTAAAAGCAGAAGTCAATGAAATTCATTACTGTAGTAGAGGTCCTAGCCAATATAGTAGGGCAAGTAAGGGAAATAAAGGGAATATTGTTTAAAAAGGAAGAAGTAAAGCAGTCTCTAATCACAGAGATCATGACTTTTTAAATAGAAAATGATTTATTAAAAAATGGAGAAGGGCTTGATGTTTAAAATATAAAAGATAAAGACTGTTAGAAATGTTCCAGGTTAAAAGATACTAAGGAGACATGATGAATAAATTTAATATCTGTGCTTAGATTAGATCCTGGGGGAAATGCTATAAATTACACAACTAGATAACTGGCAAAATTAAAATATGGGAGATTAGGAGAAAGTATTATATCAATATAAAATTTTGAGGGTGATAACTGCACTGATATTAATGTAAGTTAATTCCCTTAGTCCTAGGAAATACTGAAGAATTTAGGATTAAAGGGCCATGATATATGTAACTTATCTTCAAATGATTCAGGAAAAAAAGTTATGTAGAAAAAGGAAAAGAGTATAAGTGCAGATGATAAAGCAAATGGAAGTAAAATGTCATAGTCAAATCTGGGTGTTTCCTGTATTATGCTTGTTTTTGTAACTCTGTAAATTTGAAATTATTTTTTTAAAAAGAAGTTTTCAAAAAGGTTCTTCAAAAATGACAAAAGAAGAGGGCCATCATACCTGAAGTTGGAAATCACATTTCTCACAGGTGTGTTTGGAGTAAGCAACCTTAAGGGATGAGGTAATGTCTTTGCCTCTGGAACAAAGAGCCTGTTTGCTTACTGCTTGCTGTAAACCAGTGGTTTCCCCCAGCTCAGTATTCCTCTCTTGTAACACAGCCTATTCTTTTGCAACCATCCACCCTAGCTCTGTCTGTTGCTCTCATGTGAATTGCCACAAACGTATTGATGATCATGCTCCTTGCTGTGCTATAAGTAATAATTTTTTTTTTTCTCTGACCCAGGCATCTCATGCCTTTTGCCAATACCCATGAAAAAGTAAGAGGCTAACTGATTAAATTGAAAGAATAAACTCAAATTTCAGATCTGACAGATTACTCTTCTAAACATGTCTTCCTTATTTCTATTTCTGTTCTTTTCTCACACTGAATTCTTTGCCAAGAATATTTTCCCATTTCACCCATCCCAACTTTATATATTCTTTCAGTATACAATGCTGGTTTAGTAATATTTCCCTCTCTAGATTCTTAGAAATTTTTTTCTCCACTATTTATTAGTCACCTCTCCTTCTATCTCTTCCTTTACATCATTTATTTCCCCTTTTTATTCATTGCCTCTTTCTTCTTCCCCTATTCTTTCCTTCTCTCTTTCCTGTTATTTGAACATAACCAGATTGAATGTGACAAATTTCTTATTAAACTATATCTGTGAGAGAAGACATTATCATATACACTTTTGTTCCCATATAGAATCAAGTATAGGATTCATTTATGTATTTTTGATTGACTGATTCTTATTATGAGCCGCTAAAATGTTCAAACATATTTTTTAACCCCGCATCAAAATGATAGCTTTTTTTAAAGGTTAGTATATTGTATATTTAGATTGAAGGTACTAAGTAGGATTAGAGAATTTTCACAGTTGACAAGAGTTTTAAAAATCATTCGGAAAGTAAAACTCATGTTCCTTAAGAGAAATCTATTATGGTTGTTACGGTTAGCAAAATCTATTATCACCAAGCAAGGATTTATATTACCATTCTTTTTATTTCTTCTCACTATGATTGTAGTGATTGTAATTTTGTCATACTCCCTCAAATTTTTTATTTTATATACTGGTGTTATTAATCCAATGTGACAATTATGAAGTCATTTGGATTACTACTATTATGTTATCATACCCTTGTATACTTTGTAGAAAACTCTTGGCTAGATTTTCCTTTTGTGGTACAATAGTGTTTGAAAAGGTGTTCCCAAAATACCTAACCTTATCAGAATTATTTCTCTCCTTAACAGTATGTGTCCCATGTTAGCATTAACATATTTTTCTTGGTCACTTTGGGTTTACACCACAGTGATTAAGATCATTGGACTCTAGAACTTGATTTCCTGGGTCTGAATCCCGGTTCTGTTACCTACTGGCAATGTGACCTTGGTTATGTTACTTAACCCATTTGTGCTCTGATTCCTCATTTGCATAACAGGAATAGTTGTGCCTGTGGGTTACTGGAAGGTTAAATGAACCTATATATGTCAAGTCCTTAAAAAGCACCTGGCATAAAAAAAGATGCGTATTATATTTAATGATATTGTTTCCTAAAAGATAGCTAAGAGGCCATGATATTTTCCATGTAACCTGTCAGCCTAAGTAGGAGGATAGTTTATTCAGATCGTCAGCTTTGGAGGAATTAATTTCACTCTTGTTTATATTTTAAAGTTGGCTTTTTTTTTCTTCTTGGAGCTTATTCCTTTTAAGGAATTCTTTTTTACCAATGCCTATCACCACACAGTTTTCTTCTACCCGTTATTCTTTGTGCATTTTATATGCGTTACATGGTTTTTGTGTGTGTGTTACTTTTTAAAAACATTTTGATGTAATAATTTTAGTGGCTTTTACATATTAATTTCCATGAGTCTGTGCTATGCAAATGAGGATATGTGAATATTATCAATGTACACATATAGAACTATGGCATATAACCTGATACTTGGTTATATATTTCCACTTTACCTGCTTTTAACCAATATTCATACATGATCCTTTGCTAGATAGATTATGGTTATTAAAAATAGTAGACCATATGAATTACAAGCATGACCATACGTTGCTTTTAAGAATAAATGATCACCCAGTAACGTGGTCTAAGTAAAATATTCTCTTTTTTAATTATGTAGTCCTCCTCGCCATCCTCATCACAGCCTCATTCTAGCCACTGCAGAACGAAGGCCTCATCATTGTGTCACCATGCATCCCTGCCCTGGGTCAAACGTAACCATGTAGGCCCTGCAAAGGCTACCAGTCCATCTCTCCGTCTTCGTCGCTGGCGACCCTTCTTACGTCTACCATCTTTGGGTCTCCATTCTGTTGTAAGTTTAGTCAATCTTCCGTCTCTTCTTCCAGTGACAAGGGCTGTCTTTTTTTTTTTTTTTTCTTAACTTCGGTCTTCAGAGTGCTTTTCTCTTGGTTCACTCAACCATTAGCTTTTTCTCCCCCAATAAGATTGCAAGCATATCTCTATGCTTTGCATTCTAGCTTGACTTTTGCCAGTGCCTCAGAACATCCATCTTTCCACTCCATATCCTGCCAACATAACGGCACCTGCCTTTTGATGAGCACTGATCCACATTCATGATAATGTTTAAGTCTGGTTAATTGTTAAAGTGAATATGTGTTCTGTTACCCTTCAGCTTTCTGAATTCATTTAGTTGACTCAGGTCAACAAATGCTGTGTACCTTCTGAGTTCTTTGCCATCTATTACTTTATTATTATTATTTTTTTATGTTTCTGAGCATGACTTTAGTCTCTTGCCATGCTCTGGGGTTACTTTACTTACTCTATTCTCAATCTAAATCCTTCATGGTGTAGGGTGTTTCATCTAAGCTATTATTTTATTCCCTGAGGTGGCTCAGGTACTTGGTTTAATCTTGATCTGATCTTTCCTGCCTATTCAGTTTCTAAAGATCTTTTCCAAGTAGGAAATGAAGATTTTCTCCTTGTGTATTGATGTAGGCTTCCCACAAATTTATGATTTCTCTTTCATAGGCTAATGATATCTGCAAACTATTAAAAATACATTTTTCTTATAATCTTGCTAATTATCTTAAATGTTGAGACTGATGATGCAATTCTAGTAATTATCATAATTGAGATACACTACAGAATTAAGCAACTACAGCTCTTGTCTTTCTGATGTTTTGGACTATTAAAGGCAATGACTGTGGTTTGGCAGAGCCTCCCTAGAAATGGAATATCTTAAAGCTTTGGTGTGTGCCATACATTTATAAGAAATTTGACATTTCTATAAATTATGATGGCTTTTGAAGCCAGAGGAGGAAGTCTGATTACACGTACATTTAATGCTTAAGAACAATTAAAAGTCAATGGCAAGCATTCTTTCCTTCCCCTTATTTACCCTTCTAGTGTTATACTCAAACTGTGAAGTGGTATCTTTCCTTAAATATTTGCTTCCACCAAATATCAGTATGGTCATCAAATACTTTTCCATTTCTGCTGAGTATCAACAAACTCACATCTCTTTCTATTTCATTATCCTCATTGGGTCACGACATTCTTCATTTTTATTCGTTCATCCATTTGATATTTGTTGCTTCTCTACTGTGCCATATGCCATTTGACACAGTGAGAGATACAAGGTGAACTAAATGACCAGGGTAGAATCCTAAAGGTGTAAATTCTGACATGAGCACAATTGATCCAATTCTAATGTGAATTATTTCTTTTCTACTTAAAAATGTTCCAAATATAAATGAACATATAAAATTTGGCATTTCCTGTTTTATATGCTTTTATATAATGTTGATCTTGGCTCCATATTAGTTCCATTGCCTTATAGCTTTAAATGTTTTTGTAGCTTAGTAGTAAAGAACATGGATTCTAGAAGCACACTGCTCGGGTTTGAATCCAGATTCTACCACTTACTAGCTATATGACCTACAGCGTGTTACTTAATGCTTCTGTGCCTCAGTTTTCTCAAGAGTAAGATGGGTATAATTATATTACGTACCTTATTGGGTTTATACAGGTTGAGTATCTCTTATCCAAAATGCTTGGGATGAGAAGTGTTTTGGATTTTGGTTGGATTATTTATATTAGACTTACCTGGTTGAGTATCTCAAGCCAGAACATTTAAAATCCACAATGCTGCAGTTAGCATTTCCTTTGAACATCCTGTTGGTGCTCAAAAAGTTTGAGGTTTTGGAGCATTTGAGATTTCAGATTTTTGGATTTGGGATGCTCAACCAGTATGATGATTAATTATTTGATACATATAAAACATTTAGAACAGTGCCTGGTGGTATGTATTAAGTGCTATACAATTATACATTAAATTTAGTGTATATTTTAATGTGACATTTATATTTAGTATTTAATTTATATCTAATTGATTTGTTATCACTTTTTAATTCTTTGAGTTAACTAAGAAGTGTTGCATTCTAAATTAGGGATATATATATCAAAACTAATTGATTGGAAGTCAATGGTACTATTTATACTAAAAGAGTAGGATCCTTATCAGTAGATAGAGACATACAAGAATAGTCATACTACATCTATGAAGTGTCAATATCAGGCAGCAGCTTCAAAGCCAAAATGGTGTTTGGATGTAAAGTGGAATTTTAATTTTTCCTTCATATATATATATATATATATATATATATATATATATATATATATATATATATGAAGGAAAAAAGATCCCATCTATAGCCTTTTTTTTTTTTTTGCCCTTTGTGTAGTTATTTCTTGGTCATTTTTTGAAACAAGACTTGCTGAAATTTGCTTTTTATTTATTTTTCTTGTTTTTAGTGGAATAACTTTTAAGCAATTAAATAATTACAGATTTTTAGACTCTGAGACTAATTGAAGCTGACTGAAGGAAAGGGCTTATCACAGGTTCTGAGGTTTTGTGGAAGGCTTAGAAGTTTTGAGCTTTGCTTATCTTTTATAATAGTTTGAAGGCTTTTCATACCCTTTTTAGAATTTTGTATTTTTAGTATGCACTTTTAGATTAAAGGTGCAACGATGCACAATTTTGAGTCACTACATTTGGTAATTGCTTACATTTGCAATAATGTAGTATTGTTATTGGAGTAATACATAAGGTTTATATAACACTTAACAGTTTACAAAGTACTTTCATGCAGCTCATTTAAACCTCGAGGTGGATAAGAAACCCAAGGCTTACAGGGATTGGGTCCATATTCAGTTCTCTGACTCCAGTTGTACTACTTTTACCTCTAGCATGGTTGTATTTACTGGCACAATATAAAAAATAGAAGCTATAAGATGTGTAATTCTTAAGAAGAGATGGTGTTAAGGTAACTAATAATTTATGAAAGCATAAAGTTTAAAAGATTTAGAGTATTTCATATCCTGTTGGAAAATTGTCTTAAAATGAGTAAAAGGAAGACTCTTTCCTAGGTGAATGAATAATTCATTATAGCCTTTTTTATTATAGAATTAAAGTTACAGTTTATATAATTGCCTAGGTTTAGCCTTAAAAAATTGGACTCTCTTCTGATTATTGATAAATGGAGATATTAGACTGAGGTGGCCAGTAATATTTTTTGATTCTCTGACCAGGAAAGTAAGGGAACTCATTATCACTGTCTTCACATATTTAAAGAAATATGTTCAGGAGGGATTAGACTTTTTTCTAAGATGATGGAAAATACAAGGAGACATATTTAGCCTCAGTATGAGGGAAAATTCTAACAAAACTGTCTAACAATGGAATGGACTGCCTCAAAACCTAGCGGAGGAGCCTCTGGCATTAGAGGGGCTACCACAGGATGGAGAAGTGCAGTACTGGAGCAACAATAAAACTAGATAACTCTGATTGCTAACACCTGTGGAATTCTGTAGTTCTAGAGTGAAGCTAGAAGAGCTGGCTTGCCACATCAGTTTATGTTGAATTTCTTCCGTTCATAATTTGAGGGAAATAACCTCTGAAGAATAATGTGAGATTAGGTGAAACACTATATATAAATGTTTTAGAAACATTCTGTATATCCAAGATAGTAATGTTTATTCTGTACCTTTCAATATCTGCATCAGAAAACTTCATATTACAACTACTTGAAAATATATACTTACTTGAGGATGAAAAGAATATAATTTTTTATTTAAGATACTATCTGTTACTGAAAGGATATTAAGTAATCTGAGATATAATTTGATTTATGCCATTTGAAAACTTTTCCTTTAAAATTTGTGCTCTATTTGCATTTTTAACAGTGATTGTATTTCATTTCAAACCATTTAGATTTGATGTATAGCTAACTCATATTAATATTAGCTGTATAGTTACTACATATCATAGGAAGTGCCAGTTAATCAATGTATCGACTTTGCATATGTTATTTGAATGCCTTAGAAATGTAGATATTGCTCATGCAAATTGATTGGTAAGCTAAAGAAATGTAGATCTAGTCTTAATTTCAAATTGTTTGTTAAGCATCAAAGCAAGAGAAAAATCACAGGCTACTGTGAATTGTACTTTAATTTGTTCTTATCTTTTTTCCCTTCCTTTTAATCGCCTAGGCTATTTTCCTGCATTATTCATTTTTAAACTTTTAAAATCCAGAGTGGGTTAAAATGCTTATTTTACTCAAAGACTGTTTACACTGCACTGTTGAAACATCAGATTATCAAGTTCAAGTCTTTAAGGGAACATCTCTTTTGACATCTTAAAATTTAACTCGAAAAGAGTTTCTTTAAGCTGTTAGGTGTAAAAATATTTTAACTTTCTTATTTCAAATTTTAAAAACTCATACATATCAGTTCATGTATTCATTTCATTCAGTAAGTATGCAATGTGCATATACTGTATACCAGGCATTGTGCTAAGTGCTGAGGCTTCTAAGGTGAACACAATTTTTGGTCTTTAGATAGTTGAGATTAAGAAAGTTGTGCTTTTAGTCACTGTTTTCTTTGCCGATAACTGAGCACATTGTCACAAACACAGGCATGGTCACTCTTTGTCCATTATACCAAACATTAAGCCTTGAATTATATTGGATAAATGTTCTCTTATATAATTTGATGTTATTTGTATGTGTTTATGTATACATGACTGATTTGTTTGACTACTAATGTATATAATACCTATTTTTCCCTCCTATTCCAGGCACCAAGTATAGATGAGAAAGTAGATCTTCATTTTATTGCATTAGTTCATGTAGATGGGCATCTCTATGAATTAGGTAAGAACTATTTTAATTTGTCCTGGGGAGAGAAATGGTAAATGGGAAAGTCTCTACTTATGATAAACAGGACTATTGATATTTATTGTGTTTACTTAAATTAACTGGTTGCCTATAAAATTGATTTGACATAGCGACAGTTTTCCTTTTAAGACAGTTTACTAGAAAAATGTTATTTTATGTTTAAGCAACTTATAATTCAAAAATGTTTGCATACCATCTTCGCATTTTAGCAAAGCAAGAAAGTAAAAACCATTACAGGGAACTGCTTCAAATCTCTCTGGCAATCATTACAAAATTATTGAGTGGGTTATCATCAATATCTGGCTGAACAACCTTTAGTTTTAAAAGATAGTGTAATATTTGGGAGGCTGAGGCAGGCGGATAACCTGAGCTCAGGAGTTCAAGATCAGCCTGACCAACATGGAGAAACCCCATCTCTACTAAAAATGCAAAATTAGCCCGGCGTGGTGGCACATGCCTGTAATCCCAGCTACTTGGGAGGCTGAGGCAGGAGAATCGCTTGAACACAGGAGGTGGAGGTTTCAGTGAGCCGAGATCGTGCCATGGTACTCCAGCCGGGGCAACAGGAGTGATACTCCATCTCAAAAAAAAAAAAAAAAAAAAAAAAAAAAAAGAGCGTAATAGTTGTAATGATTGGGCTGAGTGTCACTAGTTTTCAGGGTTTTGTAATGTTCCTGTGATTTTTTAAAGACTTTACAGGAGCCTTTGTTTTCTTCAGGCATATGTCAGAGTACCCATGATTAGTTACTTGGTATTTTGGCTTATACCTGTACTTTTTTTTTTTTTAAGTTTACCTTTCAGTGGACTATTTCATGGCATGTTGGAGGAGATCACATAATTTACTCAGACAGAATAAACTTCTTGTAATTTTTTCATAATTGGTATACAATACTTATTATGACTTCTTCTTATTCTTTTCCATAAGACCTTCTCGAGTTTTAAAAAAGCCAAATAAACAACAAAAAAGAGAAGTTCTTTTCAGTAATTCTAGATACCGTGAGTTTTGGTTCTATTACCTCTCATTTGCTGTCTATATATTACCTTGTCACATTAATTTTAAGTTGTATAAAGATAGAAGATTTTGAAAGAACACAGATTGTGACTGTAAATGTGATCCATAAAATTTAGGTGGATTTTGTGTTTGGAATATTAGCAACAGATCGCATACTTTATTAAAAAGAAATGGCCCTATCAAAGGGGACAAGGAAAAGAAAGAACATAGTATTTATAAAAATGTGCAACCCTGAGCGTTGTCTACAATACTAGAGTGATTTGAGGAGTAATAAAACTTAAATGAGAAGAAGTCATTATTTTGGTAGTATATAATGGACCTCCAGGACAGTTTTGAAGATGTGCCTTGCTAATTGAGTCTACAAAATCTGCAGAGATAAAGTATAACAGTGATTGGGGACTTCAGATGTCTGGGTGGTTGCTGGAAGCAGATTTTCTACTCTGAATTGTGAATAGTAAATAATAACTAGTGGAAGAGGAAATAAAGAGTGCTGGGACTTAACAGACACATTCTGTTAACTTCAAGAAAGTAGATTTGGCCAGAGCAAACATATGTAGGATTCATAACCAGAGACTATAAATCTGATTGTGACTTTCAGAATGAGAGACTTACAGAGCAAACAATAACATCTAAAATATATTTAAACCAAAAGAAAACCTCTCTAATGATCTCAATGGGAAGGAAAGAGTTATCTTAAAAAAAAACTCGGTTTTACTAGTTAGAGAGCTGTCTTGGCTCAGAGGCTAAAAGGGCAGTTAGAAGGAAGGACATATATCAAGGGTAAGCTACATATGAAGAATGATGCTCTTTTGGAGCATGCCAAGATCAACACAAAAGGATTTTAAAATTGGTTTGAAGTAAGAACTTCATAAAACAAAGGCAGAACTACTGAGGTCTTGTTTGGTTTAGATATTCTTTATCAAGAAGAATGATCTGATGGAAAATTAGAAGCCTACTGGAAATTAGATTTTTTAAATGAGTTTAAATAATTTCAGAGTGGTAAAGAATAGCCATAATCTTTGAGATGTCAGAGCAATAATAGGTACATTACAAAGATGGACAGTTGCTGATTCATTGCAAAGGAAACTGGCAGTAACTCTGATGCAGATCTAATAAATTCAAAAGGAATATTGAGCAAGAAGAGTATTGAGTTAGTGAGTAGAAAATAATGATTAAGAGATTAGCACTGGGCACAGTGGTGTGTTCCTGTAGTCCCACTTTCTGTAGTGGGAAGCTGAAGCACGATTGCCTGAGCCCAGGAGTTTGAGGCTACAGTGTGCTATGATTGCACCTGTGAACAGCCACTACACTTCTGCCTGGGTGACATGGCAAGACGTCATCTCTTAAAAAAAAAAGAAAAGAAGACACTATATAACTTTTAAGAAAGAAGTCATTTCAAAGTTCAATTTGCTCTCTGTGGGTTCTTGCATTGGTAGATTCAACCAACTGTGGATTGAAAGTATTAGAAAATAAATACCAATACAACAATAAAAAACAAATTTTGAAAACAACATAACAACTATTTACATAGCATTTATATTGTATTATGTATGATAAGTAATCTAGAGATGATTTAAAGTATTTGGAATTGTGTAGGTTATATGCAAATACTATACCATTTAGGTAGAGTATGTCAAGGGGCTTGAACATCTCAAAATTTTGGTATGAGATGGGGCCGGTGTCCTGGAACCAGTCCCCCACAGATATGGAGAGATGACTGTAACTTTATTTTTAAAAATAAGGCTGTATGATTGTAGACATTGTGCAAGTTAATTTCTATAGGATATCTATATTTAACAGAGAATGGTGGTAGTCTTTAATGTATTAATTCCCTACTCTAATAAATTGTAAGGTTAACCAATGAAAAGGACTGAGTTATTTCTCTTTTGTTATCACCCTCCCTTTTCCTTGGGGCCTCATATAGTTTCTGGCATATGTAAAGGGGAAGAAGTACATATTTTAAAATAGATAAAATGACTCCTTGTGGATATAGAGTAGAGCATTGGGATTTAGAGGTGGATTTGGAACTGATTGAACAATCAGATTAAAAAACCATTAACTAATAAATTATTGTCTACCTGAAGTAACAGGAATACTTTGAAGCAGTTTTAGAAATTTTATTTTGAAGTAACTTAAGATGTTTGTAGAAGTTACAGAAATAGTATACAGAGCTCCCATACATCCTCCCACAGATTACCCAGATTCAATTCATATTTCTGAGCCATTTGAAAATAAGTTGAAGACATGATGCCCCATTATCTTTAAAACTTCGGTGTGTATTTTCTCAAAACAAGTGGATACTCTCCTACATAACTATAGTATGAATATCAAAATCAGGAAATTATTATAACATTGATCCAGTATTATCTGATCCACAGACCCCATTACAGTTTTCCTGATTATCACAATAATGTCCTCTATTCAGGAGCCAATCCAGGATTATGTGTTGAATTTGTCATGTTTCTTTGTCTTCTTTAATCTGGAACAGTACCTCAGAATGCTTTCTTGTCTTTCATGACTGTAACATTTATTTTAAGAGTATAGGGCCAGTTACTTTGAGATTATCCTCCAATTTAGGCCATCTGATTTATCCTCATGATTTATGCATTTTTGGCAGGAATAACTGCAGAAATAATGCTGCGTTCTTCTCAGTGCATCATATCGAGAGGCACATGATGTCAATTTGCCCCATTACTGGTGATGTTTAGTGACTTTTAGGTAGTTTCTTCACAATAAAGTTAAGAAGTATGTCATGCAGTTGCTCATCAAGCTTTTATCCTCCAGATTTTGCATCCATTGATTATTCTTGACTGGATTATCATTATGACTATTGCCAAATGGCAATTAAAAAAAAATTCCCCCAACATTAGAAGCTTTCCTTTTCCTCTCATTTATTCATTTATAATCAGAATGGACTCATGGATTCCTACTTTACTTGAATGATTATAATCCATGATATCATGTATTTTTATGCTCAAATTACTGCAGACTTGGCCTTTGAAAGGAACCCCTTCAAACTGCAGCCTTGATGTCCTGGGCTCCAGCAATCCCCTTGTCACAGCCTCCTGAGTAGCTGGGACTGTAGGCCTGTGCCACCATGCCTGGCTATTTTTTTTTTTTTTTTTTGTAAATTGGGGTCTAGCTATGTTGCCCAGGCTGGTCTTGAACTCCTGGGCTCAATTGATCCTCCTGCTTTAGCCTTCCAAAGTGCTGGGATTACAGGCATGAGGCACTGCACACAGGCCATAGTTTTAATTTTTAAGAGTTCTTCTGTTCTCTGAGTTTGCATAGCATTTGAAAATATGGCATTCTGTTCTTTTATGTATGTAGAATTTCCTCATTTTAAGGATAGTAATAATACAGGAATACCTCATTTGACTGTACTTTACATATATTTCATTTTTTACAAATTGAAGGTTTATGGCAATCTTGCTTTGAGCAAGCTTATTGGCACCATTTTTTCCAACAGCATGTGCTCACTTTGTGTTTCTGTGTCACGCTTTGGTAATTCTCCCAACATTTCAAACGTTTTATTATTATATCTGTTATGGTATCTGTGATCAGTGATCTTTGATATTACTACCGTAATTGTTTTGGGATGCCACAAACTATACCCATATATGCTGGCAAACTTAATTGATTTCATGTATGTGTTCTGACTGCTCCATTAACCAGCCATTTCCCCATCTCTTTTCCTCTCTTTGAACTTCTCTATTCCCTGAGACACAATAATATTGAAATGAGGCCAGATAATAACCCTACAAAGGCCTGTAAGCATTCAAGTCACACGTCTCTCACTTTAAGTCAAAAACTAGAAATGATTAAGCTTAGTGAGGAAGGCATATTGAAAGCCAGGATGGTCTGATAGCTAGGCCTCTTGTGCAAAACAATAAGCCAAGTTGTGAATGCAAAGGAAAAGTTCTTGAAGGAAATTAAAAGTGCTGCTCCAGTGAACACATGAATGACGAGAAAGCAAAACAGTATTATTGCTGATATGGAGAAAGTTTGAGTGGTCTGGATAGAAGATCAAACTAGCTACAACATTTTCTTAAGCCTAATCTGGAGCAAGGCCATACCTCTTTTCAGTTCTGTTAAGGCTGAGAGAGGTGAGGAAGCTACAGAAGAAAGGTCTGAAGCTAGCAGTTGGTTCATGAGGTTTAAGGAAAGAAGTCATCTCCATAACATAAAAGTGCATGGTGAAGCAGCATATGCTGATGGAGAAGCTGCAAGTTATCCAGAAGATCAAGCTCAGATCTTCCGTGAAGGTGGCTACGTAAACAACAGATTTTCCATGTAGATGACTAGCCTTCTCTTGGGAAGAAGATGCCATCTAGGACTTCTGTAGCTAGAGAGGAGATGTCAACACCTGCCTTCAAAGCTTCAAAGGACAGGCTGATTGTCTTGTTAATGCAGACGGTGACTTTCAGTTGAAGCCAATGATCATTTGATATTCAGAAAATTTTAGGGTCCTTAAGAATGATGCTAAATCTTCTCTGCCTATGTTCTATAAATGGAACAACAGAGCCGGGATGATAGTATATCTATTTATAGCCTGGATTACTGAATCTCTTAAGCCCTCTGTTGAGACGTACTGCTCAGAAAAAGATTCCTTTGAAAATATTACTGCTAATTGACAATGCACCTTGTAATCCAAGAAGTCCGATATAGATATATTTACAAAGAGATTAATATTTTCATTTCTGCTAACACAGCATCCATTCTGCAGCCCATGGATCAAGGAATCATTTAGACTTTCATTTCTTGTTATTTAAGAAATACAGTTTGTGAGACTATAGCTGCCACAGTGATTGCTTTGATGGATCTGAGAATAGTAAATTGGAAACTTCCTGGAAAGGATTCACCATTTTAGATGCCCTTAAGAACATTCATGATTTATGGGAAGAGCTCAAAGTATCAACATTAACATGAGTTTGGAATAAGTTGGTTCCAATCCTCATGGATGACTTTGAGGGGTTTAAGACTTCATTGGAGGAAGTAACTGCAGATATCATGAAAATAGCAAGAAAACTAGAATTAGAAGGGGAGCCTGAAGATGTGACTGAACTGCTGCAATCTCATGATAAAACTTGAACAAGTAAGGAGTTGCTTCTTAAAGATGAGCAAATAAACTGATTTCTTGAGATGGAATCTACTCCTAATAAAGAGGTCATGAACAGTGTTAAAATGACCACAAACCATAAAGGATTTAGAAGATTACATAAATGTAGTTGATAAAGCAGCAGCAGAATTTGAGAGGATTGACAACATTTTTGGAAGAAGTTCTCCTGTGGGTAAAGTGCTGTCAAACAGCATCACATGCTACAGAGAAATCTTTCATAAAAGAAAGAGTCAAATGTGGCAAACTTCATTATTGTCTTATTTTAGGAAATTTCCACAGCCACCCCAATCTTCAGCAACCGCCGTCCTGATCAGTCAGGAGATATCAACATCAAAGCAAGCCCCTCCATCAGCAAAAAGATGGCAACTTGCTGAAGGCTGAGATGATCATTAGCATTTTTAGGAATAAAGTGTTTTTTAATTAAGGTATGTATATTGTTTTCTTAGACATAATGCTAATGTATACCTAATAGACTACAGAGTAATATAAACATAACTTTTATATGCACTAGGAAACAAAAAAATTTGTGACTCATTTTATTGTGATACTTGCTTCATTGTGGTATTCTGGAAGCTAACCCACAGTATCTCTCAGGCATGCCTGTACATTTTTTAGAAGTTTTAATTTCTGTATAGTCTCTCTTTTTTAAGCCTGTACATTTTTAAAAAGTTTTTATTTCTGTGGCTGGGTGTGGTAGCTCACGCCTGTAATCCCAGCACTTTGGGAGGCCGAGGTGGGTGGATCACAAGGTCAGGAGATCGAGACCATCCTGGCTAACATGGTGAAACCCCATCTCTACTAAAAATACAAAAAATTAGCTGGGTGTGGTGGTGGGTGCCTGTAGTCCCAGCTGCTCGGGAGGCTGAGGCAGGAGAATGGCGTGAACCCGGGAGGCAGAGCTTGCAGTGAGCTGAGATTGTGCCACTGTACTCTAGCCTGGGCGACAGAGCGAGACTCTGTCTCAAAAAAAACAAAAACAAAAACAAAACAAAAACAAAACCAGTAAAACAGTTTTTATTTCTGTATAGTCTCTGTTTTTTAAGCTCCATCATTCACGTCGTTGGCCATTGTTGGGTATTTGACAGTAGCTGATACTCAGTTATCTGCACCAAAAAGCATCTCGTGATGTTTGTCATGTCGCTTGTCTCTTGTACAACTCTGTTGTCACCTTTCTCTGGGGGCTTGTGATCACACTATGCAAAAAACAAGTTCTGAATGAATTGGTTAGTTACTACCAAAAAGTCAGGCCACTATTTTCTTCCCCGTCCAGCCTGGAAGTGGCACAGCCCGTTTGGACTGGGGTTTTTAGGTTACATGACCCATGTACAAGGTGCAGCTTTTTCCTGCCTCTTTTAGAAGGGGCCTGTAAGTGTGACAGTCTCTGAGCCTCATGGATTCATCTGCAGCGTATGCATTTACTGAAATTACACGCAAAGTTGTTGGCAAGTGACAGTTTTGTGGTAGTAGTGTTTGGAACAACAGCAAATTTTACATTTTATTGTTTTGGCAAAATTTTTCTGTGAAGGACCAAGTAGTAAATATTTTAGGTTTTGTGGGCTACATACTGTCTTTTAAAAACATAAAAACCAGTCTTAGCTTAAAGGAGGCATTAAAAATACACTGAGGGCTGGATTTGGCCCATGGATTAGAATAACAGTAAAAATCATAATTAATCTTTGTTCTATACTGCTATTATAAAAATAGACTGTACGGTTTTGACATTTCAGGATCAGTTGTTTAACAATCTTAGTCTATAATAATTGAAATTAATTATATGTTACTTTAAACAGCTGCATTCAAAGGAAAATTGCTCACTGCCATTTTTTGTTTTTATTTTATTATGTTATTATTTTATTTTTTTAGAGACAGAATCTCACTTTGTCACCCAGGCTGGAGTGCAGTGGCATGATCATAGCTTGCTGCGTCCTTGAACTCCTGGGCTCAAGTGATCCTCCTGCCTCAGCCTCCCAAACAGCTGGGACTACAGACTTGTGCCACTATACCTGGCTAATTTATTAATTCTTTGTAAAGGTGGGGTCTCACTGTATTGCCCAGGCTGGTGTTGAACTCCTGGCCTCAAGCAATCTTCTTAAATTACAGGTGTGAGCCACCACACCCAGCCATAACTGAGTTTATTAGCTCTTTAGTCTCATGAATGACACACACACAGAAATGATGGAAACCAGGAAAATACATATATTAAGCCAGGTGCTGTTGCATGTGCCTGCAGTCCCAGCTACTTGGGAAGCTGAGGCAGGAGGATTGCTTGAACGCAGGAGGTTAAGTTCAGCCTGGGGAATATAAGTGAGGCCCTGTCTCTAAATTAAATAGAAGAAAGAAAAATACAAAAGGAAAAAATATATATTAATTTATAATTTGGTTAGGGAGGGAACAGCCTACATTGTTTACTTATACTTTTGCCTTTATGTAAACATTAAAAAATAATACAAAATGGGGTGGCACATAATGAATGTGATAGTCATATAAACATAGAATAGTCTATTGAAGAATAAGCATTTACCACAAAAGGATATTTTAAGAAGACATTTTATGATATATTATTGAGAAATATACATTATAATTTAGAAAGATAGTATAAGTTCATAGAAATATGGATAATTAAGTGTTCATGTGTAATATAGTTACAGGAAAATATTTCCTAAAGGTTCTTAGAAACTTTAGGAATTATGTCCCAGGCATTGTAATTTAGGGATAAGTTTCTTTAGGATTTTGAATATTTATCTCAATGTTAGTCCAAAAATAGGAATCACAAATTCTGATGATATAATTTATAGAAATTAATATTACTTTTTATGGAGATGAATTTATGTGTTGATTTTCATTCATTTTTTTAAAAAAAATCTAACAACCAAGTCTATTACTAGATGCATATTCAGAAATTTTTATTATGGTTAGAAACCATGGAATCGTAGAAGGGGCTGTGTTTTATGGATTGAACTTAATGAAGAGCCACTTACAAGACATCTGAGATTATGGATTTGGATATATAATTGTCAGTTGACTTTGGGTTAGCATGAGTTTAAATAATTCTGGACTTCTTAAAAAATAATATTGAAAAAGTACTAGTTTATTTAAGTTGATTGTGAATTTGCTTATTTTGGTGGTCAGTAAAATAACCCTGGGTTATTTGGATTATTCCTCTATATTACTGCATTGATAGTACACAGTTAATAGTAGTATTGTATAAGCCATGACAGTGTAGCTCCCTTTCATTGTTTTAAACATGTCTGTCTTACTTGAGATCTTCCTATTTAAAGTGAAAAAAGAAATTTTTTTAATTTCCAAGGATAAAAGCTGGGGTGATAATTTTTAAAAAACTGACAATAATTTTGCGTATTATTTTCAGGAAACGAAAGCCAGCATTGTAATAAATTCCGTTCATGAAGATAATTTAGGCTTTCAAATATGGAAGCAAAGTTCTAACTAATAACCTTTAATAAAAAATATTCATGGTAGCACATTAAAACATTTGTTTTAGGATATATTATTGAAAATGGCTTTTAACTTTTCTTGCCTCACTGGGGGAAGAGGAAAATGGAAGTTGAAAGCACATTATCCTGTAAAAACAGCTAAGCATTCAATTGTTTGTCTGTTTTCCACAGATGGGCGGAAGCCATTTCCAATTAACCATGGTGAAACTAGTGATGAAACTTTATTAGAGGTAACAGTAACACTTGTTGGCCCATCTTCATCAATATTTTGTCATCTTTAAAACATCTCTAAAGGTCACTTGCATAACATTTTCTTTGTATTTGGATACTTCTTTATCCTTGTTCTCTCTAGAAAATCCAAAAAGAAAATTTATATTAGTGTTAAAAATCTACAACAAATAAAGAGGTTTTCACAGCTCTATGAACAAATGTAAAAATTGAAAAGGCAAGAATAGTATTGAAAGACTTGCTCATTATATCCGAGATTTCATCAAATCCAGGATACCATTAATTGTATCTTGATCCTGATTTTAGAGATTTTAAAACATGAATAAATTGTGTGGCTTAGAATCAATGAAACGTGATTTTTAGTTGAAAAGTTTCTTAATAGCATTTTAAGAACACTTACGGCCAGGCGTAGTGGCTCACGGCTATAATCCCAGCACTTTGGGAGGCCGAGGCGGGTGGATCACCTGAGGTCAGGAGTTCGAGACCAGCCTGACCAATATGGTGAAACCCCATCTCTACTAAAAATATAGAAATTAGCTGGGTGTGGTGGTATGTGACTGTAGTCCCAGCTACTAGGGAGGCTGAGATAGGAGATTTGCTTGAACCCGGAAGGCAGAGGTTGCAGTGGGCCGAGATTGCACCACTGCACTCCAGCCTGGGTGACAGAGGGCAAGACTCTGTCTCAAAAAACAAACAAACAAACAAAAACTTACTGTATCTTATACTTTTGTACAAAGCAAATTAGGGCACCCATGTTCACTTTTCTGGTGTTCTTTATTTCTCATTTGGAAAAGGAAGTTTGCAGTGTAAAATTAGTATGAATTAGAAAAATATGAAATGTTTATCATTTGTAAGTAAAACACTTTTACACTGAAAAATCATACTTTTTTTTTTCCTCCATAGGATGCCATAGAAGTTTGCAAGAAGTTTATGGAGCGCGACCCTGATGAACTAAGATTTAATGCGATTGCTCTTTCTGCAGCATAGCTTGTCAATAATGGAAACACCAAAAACTGTATTATTTGCAACTAAATTTTCTCTGCCATACACTAACTCAAAAATTTTGATATTTTCATTAACTTGATGATTAAACTTTATGTGAGTTAAACTTTGCCTTAACCTGTGTTTTATGTTATTTTTGCTCCAGGTTAAAGGTGCAATGCTTTCCTCCTCTTTTCTTGTGAAGGATTTATCTTGTTTGAAAACTAGCAATAGCTTTCTTATTCTTTTTAGATTTTACAGGAAATTTTGTATTGGGATACTAGGCACAATTTCCATCTGCATAACATGAATATATATTATCTATGTTAACATGTTTATTTAGAAAACATTTGTGAAGCGTCTACTTGTAACGAGATGGATGCCATTCTGGGTTCAGAAGTTAAAGCATAGAACGCTGTTGAAAAATGTGATAGTCATGGAGCTTATGTTATTGTGAGAAGAGATAAGTAACAAACACATCAAGATAAATACCAATGATAGATGCTGTGTGGAGAATTAAAATAGGATTTGTGTTAGGGAATGACCGAGCAGCTACTTTAGATTTTGTTGTCAGGGAGGCTTCTGTGAGGAGGTGACTTTAAAGTTGAGATCTGAATGACTAAGCCTGTCATAAAGGTGGTGGGGAAGAGCAGAAGAAGTAATGAATGTGGAGTCCCTAAAGTAGGAACATCTTGCTGTATTGTAGGACCAGGAAGGAGGTTCAAGTGGCCAGAACATAGAAAGTAATAGGGAAAGTAGCAAGAGATGAGGTCAGAAAAGTAGGGGCTTTTTGATACAGGAAAAGGCATTTGGATTCATTGCAAATGTGATGGTAAGCCATTGGAGAATTTTAAGCAGGACAGGAACTTGCTTTGATTTGTAATTTTAAAAGGTCCCTCTGACAACTCCATGGATAATATATTGAGGATGGGAGCAAGAATAGAGGTAGAAAAACCTGTGAGGTGCCCACTGTAGTTGTTCAGTGGGATGATGATGGCTGGGCCTTAAAAATGGTAGATTAGATAGAGGCCAGGTGCAGTGGCTCATGCCTGTAATGCCAACATGTTGAGGCATGCAGCCAGGAATTTGAGACCAACCTGGGTAACAAAGTGAGACCCCATCTCTACAAGAAAAAAAAAAAAAATGCCGGACATGGTGGCATATGCCTGTAAGTCCTAGCTACTCAGGAGGCTGAGGCGGGAAGGATTGCTTGAGCCCAGGAGTTTGAGGCTGCAGTGAGCCATGATTGTATCACTGCTCTCTAGACTGGGTGATGGAGGGAGACCCTGTCTCAAAAATAATAAATAAATTTAGATGGTGGTACATGAGTGAATTTTGGTTGTGCTTTGAAGAAGGAAGGGCTTCAATTGAGTCTTTAAGGATATGTGGAAAGGCAGTAGAAAAGTGAAAGGGCATTTATAGAGTTGGGCCAAAACACAGAGTTGATGTGATGACAGTGTTCTATATCTTTTTGGGAGAGGAATAGCCATTACTCGGGTATATACATTTATAAAAACTCATTGACTTGTACATTAAAAATCTGTACTTCACTGTATATGCATTTTACCTAAAGTAGGGGGAGGTAGTAGTTGGTTACTTGGAATATGCATTTATCATAACTCTGAATTGTACATTTAAAATCTGTACTTTACATACATTTTATCTTAAGAAAAAAAACCAGGGTTGGGTTGAAATGAGTATAATAGGAGAAAAACCAGATTGGTCTAGAATGAAGTTTTTGACCAGTAATTGAATATAGATGTTTACGCACAATTCACTGAGTTAAGAGTAGTAAGGCGTGGCTTTTAGAATGAATTAGATCTTTGTTACTCAAGTGTGGTTGCATCATAGTACCTGGGAGCTTCTTAGAAATGGGAAATTTCAGACCCCACCCCCAAAACCTTTTAACAAGATCCCTGCTTATTCATAAGCAATAAATTAAGCTGGAAGCACTAGATTAGATTAGTTAAGCATTTTTAACAAGATCCCTTCTTATTCATAAGCAATAAATTAAGTTTGGGAAGCACTAGATTAGAAAAATAGACTATAACGAGGAAAATAACTTCGGAAGATATTTAAGCTTACCATTATTCTACAGTGAAAAGGGCATGGGTGAAATGTTGGCAATAGGGATGAAAAAATAATCTGAAACAATTTGATAGACTGTATATGCAGATGATGCTTACCATACCAATAATAACGACCCACATATTCTATTCTTGTTACATTATCTTTTCTGTGTTATCTTAAATATTTTAAACATTCCTAAGCAGTTTTCTGCCTGTTGCCTTGCTGGATTTCTCTTAATTATATGATTTCTTAATAGATCCTAAATCAGTGGCACATTACCTAGAATTTACATAGTTTCTCAAAATATGCTGTGAGAAACACTAACTTTGCAGGACTCTTAATGGGTAAGAAAGATTTGAAGTCAAGTATCTTGAAAATATTGGGTTAAACAATTTTTTTGAAAGTTACAGGTATATTTGGAGGGGGGGCAATTATAGAATGCCTCAGTTTTTTCAAAAAATATTCCATGTATTATGAACAACATTTTCTAAACATTTTAGGGAGCAGCACTTAGAGCTAGCCTTCTTTGGCACACAGTTTAAGGTGGTAGTCCCTTGTGGAACAGACAGCTTGAAAACTTTTCTTGCTTCTCTCTTAGGTTTATGTGTAAACTTCTAGTTCTCAACTCTATTCCCTACAATACTTTGTTTAGTCACTTTCTTAAAACTTGGCACTTGTAGAAAAGATTAATAGTTTACTTTGTGTGAAAACTCGTGGAGACACTAAGTTTGATAAGTTGTGGGTTATTTCTGTATACTGCTGTTAATGACCGTGATAGCGGGGAAAATAGAACTAAAATGAGAACTAGAACTAAATGTTTTTGCTTGGTGGACTTTTGAGAACATCATCTTTCACTGGGTATAATGGTTTGCTTTAAATTACTGAAACAGATGAGCTTTTATAAGCCCCATAATACTTAACCTGAATATTTTCAATGTTCATTTGTGAGTAAAGCAGAAATTACCTGTATTCTATGGCAAGTCGAAGTTTAAGCTATCTTAAATGAAAACTATCTTTGATTCCTTATAAAAATATTTGAACGAATCTGATTTAAATTTATTTTATTCCATCTTTGATTTGTGTGCAAGCCTTATTTGATAAGCTTTATCACTGGGCTGTGTATAACATACAACCTGCTTATTTAATGAAAATAGTAGAGCTTAAAAGGTATTTTTAGACATTAATGTTTGTCTACTACTGTATCTTTCAAAAGAAGCATTATAGGGCTTATGATTCCTCTGTTGGTGCTGGTAAGAATTGGAAAGAGGCATATTTCCATCACTTTTTTAGAACTTTCCTATTCATAGAAATTTATTTCTTTTAGGTAAATCTTATGTAGGTATATATATGTATATATATGTGTGTATGTATATATATGTACACACATTCACACATGCATACCTTGAAAAGGCAAATAACCTTGGTTTAAATCCTCTATCTTATTTAAATCCATGACTGAAGTTAAGTAAAACCACTTAGAAAAGTGTGTAATCAGCTGGGCATGGTGGCTCATGCCTGTAGTCCCAGCACACCTGTAGTCCCAGCACTTTGAGAGGCAGAGGTGGGCGGATTGCTTGAGCCCAGCAGTTTAAGACCAGTCTGGGCAACATGGTGAGACCTCATCTCTACTAAAAATACAAAAATTAGCTGGGTGTGGTGGTGTGCATCTGTGGTCCCAGCTACTTGGGAGGTTGAGGTGGAAGGATTGTTTGAGCCTGGGAGGTGGAGGCTGCAGTGATCCAAGATCACACCACTGCACTTCAGCCCCAGTGACAGTAAGACCCTGTCTCAAAAAACAAAACAAAACAAACAAACAAAAAAAAACTGTAATCATTATATAAGGTATTTAGAACTAATTTAGAGGGATTTATATACACATAAAGTTTAATAGTTAATGTTACCAGATTCCCTGGTAAGATCTTAAAATGAGCTTCCTTGTGTTCTCAACAACATTGCTACTAAAAACGAAGTGTGGAATATACTCTTCAGATAGCAGCAAATGTTTTGTCATTTCCTTTGCTTCTGTTGATTTTCAAAAGTTTACCTCCTTAAAATACATAAACTATTGTGTTGTAGAAGATTCCACATGATGAAGGGCATTAATTTTCTTGTGCCACTGGTGCCAGTTGATCAGACCAACCTAACATGCCTCAGTTTCATGCATATTCTCACTTGTTTTCCTTCTGAATAAAAGTTATTCTAAATCTTTCTCTTGACTTCTTTGTTTAGGGTAGTGGTTCTGAACCTGTCTGTTGCTTCTACCTACTTGATAGGTGAGGGTCCTCAGTACAACATTTTTCCAGAGGCCACAACTAGATATTATATAGGAGGTTATAAAGACAAAGGCTGGATATTACGAGCAATTCCTTATTGTCTAATTGATCAGGAAACCCCTGGTTTAGGGACACTAAATGTATATGACCTATACTGAAAACTACTTTGCAAAATTAATTTAAAATTGCTTAGAAATATATAATGTAGCTCTTATAATCTACAAGGTAGATATGAATATAACTTGAATTATTTAAAATAAGAATCAGCTAAGTGATATGAATGGCACAATTTAATTATTTGGTTCAGAACTATACTCTTTATCAACATGTAAACATAGTTGATATTCAGATAAATAAGTTATGTTTAATAGTGTGTCCTTTAAGAGCTAAAGGATTTCTGTGTCCTGCACATGTTTTATGACTACAAGATGAAAACAAATTGCTTGAGGTTATATTTGTATCTTAAACATGAAAAACTTGAAGCACATGCAAAGGTTGTAAATTAGACTGTTCTTTAAAAAATGTAGTAAAACCTGTCTGATGAAAAATTGCATTGCTTACTGAGAGTTCACCTGTGGGAGAAGATGACAAAAAAAAAAAAAATTGCATCTGAATTTTCCTGTGTGGCTAAGCCAAGAAAGTATTTTTCCACAGGGTTATTTTCTTTATTCTCCCTGAATACTAAGTATTTGAAACCAGAAGTTCCTCCCATCTTCCACCACTACAGAAATAATATACATTTTATCCTAGTGTGCAGGGAATGTATGACAGGGAATGTTCTCTGTGCATATTTTTTGCCATCAAGACCAAAACATGATATTTCATGGTCAGGGTATAACTTAAAAGATGTATTCTTCTGAAGAGTTGACTTTAAAACAAAATGCAAATACCTTAAATATTTTTTATATTAATATGATAGAGACATTAGTTCTTATAGCCACATTCTGGTACTATAATCAGGTACATTGAAGTATTCAAGATAAGAGCACAAAAGTACTGATTTTAAGAACTTTAGAAAACATGGCTTATGGGCAATATAAACTTGAAGAATGTTTAAAGCAAACTATTTACTTCATGGTTTTAGTTTTTACCTTGTTTTTCCCATTTTGGAAGACTAAAGCATGTACGTCAGTTGTTACAAGTATTCCAGTGAAGGCTTTTAGTTTTTGAAGGACTAGTAGGCATCTCCTGTTTTTTTTTTTTTTGTTTGTTTTTAAATGGTGCATGAAATGCCAAGTGAAAGTGACTTCTTTTTTTTTTTAAATCTTTAACTTTTTGTTTTTACGGGTACATAGTAGGTGTATATATTTATGGGGTACATGAGATATTTTGATACAGGCATCCAATTTGGAATCATCACATCAGGGTAAATGGGGTATCTGTCACCTGAAGCATTTATCCTTTGTGTTACAACAGTCCACATATACTCTTAGTTATGTACAATTAAATGATTGACTATAGTCACACTGTTGTGGTATCAAATACTAATTCCTACTTTCTAACTTTTTTTTGTGCCCATTAACCATCCCCACTCCCTCACTACCCTTCCCACCTTCAGGTAACCACCATTCTGTTCTCTATCTCCATGAGTTTAATTGTTTCAATTAATTTTTTAGCTCCCACAAATAAGTGGGAACATAGAATTTTGTCTTTGTGTCTGGCTTATTTCACTTGACAGAATGACTGCCAGTTCTATCCATGTTGTTGCAAATGACAGGATCTCATTCTTTTTATGGCTGAATAACACTCCTTTCTGTATAGTACCATGTTTTCTTTATCCTTTCATCTATTGATGGACACTTAGGTTGCTTTGAAATCTTGGCTGTTATGGATAGTGCTGCGCTAAACAGGCGAGTACAGATAATCTCTTCAATATACTGATTTTCTTTCTTTTGTATGTATACTTAGCAATGGGATTGCTAAATTATAGGGTAGTCCTATTTTTAGTTTTTTGATGAATCTCCAAACTCTTCTCCATAGTGTTTGTACTAATTTACTTTCCCACCAACAGTGTATGAGTGTTCCTTTTTCTCTACATCCTCATTTTTATTGCCTGTCTTTTGGATAAAAGCCATTTTAACTGGGGTGAGATAATGTCTCATCGTAGTTTTGATCTCCATTTCTCTAATGATCAGTGATGTTGCGCACCTTTTCATATTTGCCATTTGTGTGTCTTCTTTTGAGAAATGTCTGTTTAGATCTTTTGCCCAATTTAAAACCAGATTGTTAAATATTTTTTCCGATTGTTTGAGCTCTTTATATATTCTGGTGATTAATCCCTGGTCAGATGGCCAGTTTGCAGATATTTCCCCATTCTCTGTGTTGTCTCTTCACTTTGTTGATGGTTCCTTTGCTATGCAGAAGCTTTTTAACTTGATGTGATTCCATTTGGTCATTTTTGCTTTGGTTGCCTGCGGTTGTGAGGTATTTATTACTCAATAAATCTTTGCCCTGTCTAATGTCCTGGAGTTTCCCCAGTGTTTTCTTGTAGTAGTTTCATAGTTTAGGGTCTTAGATTTGTCTCTCTCTTTTTTATTTTTGAGACAGAGTCTTGATCTGCCCAGGCTGTAGTGCAATGGTGCTATCTTGGCTCACTGAAACCTCTGCCTCCCAGGTTCAAGCGATCCTCCCACCTCAGCCTCCTGAGTAGCTGGGATTACAGGTCCACGCCGCCATGCCCGGCTAATTTTTGTATGTTTAGTAGAGACAGGTTTTTTGCCATGTTGGCCAGGCTGGTCTTGAACTCCTGGCCTCAAGTGATCTGCCCTCTTCGGCCTCCCAGGGTGCTGGGATTACAGATGTGAGCCACCACACCCAGCCAGATTTAAGTCATTAATTCATTTTGTTTGAATTTTCTATATAGTGAGAAATAGGGGTCTAGTTTCATTCTTCTGCTTTGGATATCCAGTTTTCCCAGCACCATTTACTTAAGATACTGTCCTTTCCTCAATGTATGTTCTTGGCACTTTTGTCAAAAATGAGTTCACTGAAGATGTGCGGATTTGTTTCTGGGTTCTCTATTCTGTTCCATTGGTCTACGTATCTGTTTTTATGACAGTACTCTGCTCTTTTGATTCTATAGCTCTGTAGTATAATTTGAAGTCAGGTACTGTGATTCCTCCAGTTTTGTTCTTTTTGCTCAGGATAGCTATTCTGGGTCCTTTGTGGTTCCATATACATTTTAGGATTTTTTTTTTCTATTTCTGTGAAGAATGTAATTCCTATCTTGATAGAGATTACATTGAACCTGCAGGCTGCTTTGGGTAGTATGAACATTTTAACAATATTGATGCATCCAATCCATGAACATGGAATATTTTTCCATAGTTTGGTGTCCTCTTCAATTCCTTTCATCAGTGTTTAATTTTCATTGTAGAGATCTTTATTTGCTTAAGTTAATTCCTAGGTATTTAATTTTATTAGGAGCTATTGTAAATGGGATTACTTTTTTATTTCTTTTTTATATTGTTCACTGTTGGCATATAGAAATGCTACTGACTTTTGTGTGTTGATTTTGTATCCTGCAACTTTACTGAATTTATCAGTTCTAATAGTATTGTTATGGAATCTTTAGATTTTTCCAAATATAAGATTGTATCATCTACAAATAAGGAAAATTTGATTTCTTCCTTTCCAGTTTGGATGCCATTTATATCTTACCTGATTGCTGTAGCTAGGACTTTCAGTACTATATTGAATAACAGTGGTGAAAGTGGACATCCTTGTCATGTTCCAGTTCTTAGAGGAAAGGCTTTCAGTTTTTCTCCATCCAGTATGATACTAGCTGTGAGTCTGTTGTATATGGTTTTTATTATGTTGAGGTGCATTCCTTCTATACTCAGTTTTTAAAGATTTTTTTAATCATGAAAGGATGTTGAATTTTATCAAATACTTTTATAGCATCAATTGAAATAATCATATGTTTTCTTCTTCATTCTTTTGATATGATTTATCACATTGATTGATTTGTATATGTGGAACCATCCTTGCATCTTTGGGATAAATCCCACCTGGTGATGATGAAAGAACTTTTTAATGGGTTGTCAAATGTGATTTGCTAGTATTTTGTTCAAGATTTTTACATGAATGTTCATCAGGGATATTGGCCTGTAGTTTTCTTTCTTTCTTTTTTTTTTTTTTTTTGTCTGGTTTTGGTATCAGGGTATTACTGGCCTGGTAGAAAGAGTTTGGAATTATTCCCACCTCCCCTTATTGTTGGAATAGATTGAATAGGATTGATACTAGTTTTTCTCTAAATATTTGGGAAAATTCAGCAATGAAGCCACCAGGTACTGGGCATTTCTTTGGTGGGAGACATTTCATTACAGCTTTAATCTCATTACTTGTAATTGGTCTGTTTGGATTTTGGATTACTTCATGATTCAATCTTATTACGTTGTATGTGTCTAGGAATTTACCAATTTCTTCTATGTTTTCCAATTTATTGGCATATAGTTGCTGATAGTAACCTCTAATGGTCCTTTGAATTTCTGGGGTATTGGTTGTAATATCTCCTTTTTCATATCTGTCTTTATTTGAGTCTTCTCTTTTTTTATGCAAGTCTGGCTAAAGGTTTGTCAATTTTATCTTTTCAAAAAACCGATTTTGTGTATCATTGATCTTTTTTTATTTGTTTCAGATACATTTATTTCTGCTCCAAACTTTATTATTTCTTCTAATTTTGGGTTCAGTTTGCCCTTGCTTTTCTAGTTCTTTAAGAATAGTTGTTAGATTGTTTATTTGAAGTTCTTCTGCTTTTCTGATGTAGGCACTTAGAGCTATACGCTTTCCTCTTAGTACTGCTTTTGGTATGTTGTGTTTCCATTATCATTGGTTTCAGTTTTTCAATTTCCTTCTTAATTTCTTCATTGACCCACTAGTCATTCAAGAACACACTTTAATTTCCATGTGTTTGTATAATTTCCAAAATTCCTCTTGTTACTGATTTCTAGTTTTATTTTATGGTGGTCAGAGAAGATACTTGATATTATTTCATTTTTTAAAATGTTTTAAGACAAACGGTCTATCCTTGAGAATGATCTATGTGCTGAGGAGAAGAATGTGTATACTATAGCTGTTGGATGAAATATTCTGTAAATATCTGTTAAGTTCATTTGGTCTGCAGAGCCCATTAAATCTGATGTTTCTTTGTTGATTTTCTGTCTGGATGATCTGTTCAGTGCTAAAAGAGGGGTATTGTGGTCTCCGGCTATTATTGTGTTAGGGTCTAAATATTTGCTTTGTAAATCTGGGTGCTCCAGTGTTGCATGCATAAATATTTACAATTGTTATATCCTCTTGCTAAATTGACTCCTTTGCTGTTAAATAATGACCTCCTTGTTTCTTTTTATCATTTCTGTCTTGAAAGCTATTTTGTCTAATATAAGTGTAGGTACTCCTGATCTTTCTTGGTTTCTATTTGCCTGGAATATCTTTTTCCATCCCTTTATATTTAGTCTGTGTGTGTCTTTATATGTGAAGTGTGTTTCTTTTAGGCAACAGATTGTTGGGTCTTATTTTTTATCCATTCACCCACTCTGTGTCTTTTGATTGGAGAGTGTAGTCCATTTACACTCAATATTGTTATTGATAAGTAAGGACTCACACCTCCCATTTTATTATTTGTTTTCTGGTTGTTTTGTGGTCTTGTGTTCCTTCTTTCCCTCCTTCCTTCTTTTTAGTGAAAATTATTTTCTCTGGTGGTATGTTTTAGTTTCTTGCTTTTTATGTTTTTCTGTATCCATTGTATGTTTTTTGGTTTGAGATTACAAGCCATGAGGCTTGCAAATACTATCTTATAACTCATTATTTTAAACAGATAACAACTTAACACTCATTGCGTAAACAAGCTAGCAAATAAGCAAAGAGAAAACTAATAAAAATTCTACACTTTTTTCTGCTTGATCAATTCTGCTATTATGAGAATGTATTCTTCAGTATGTTAGTTGCATTTTCCCACTACAGAACTTCTTTCTTTTTTTTTTTTTTTTTAGATGGAATTTTGCTTTTTCACCCAGGCTGGAGTACAGTGTCACGATCTCAGCTCACTGTAACTTCCGCCTTTTGGTTTCAAGTGATTCTCCTGCCTCAGCCTCCTGAGTAGCTGGGATTACAGGCACCCACCACCATGCCCAGCTAATTTTTATATTTTTAGTAGAGACGGGGTTTCACCATGTTGGCCAGGCTGGTCTCGTACTCCTGACCTGGTGATCCGCCCACCTCACCCTCCCAAAGTGCTGGGATTACAGGCATGAGCCACTGTGCCCAGCCTGTTTTTTTTTTTTTCCCCAGATGGAATCTCACTTTGTCACCCAAGCTGGAGTGCAGTGGGGTGATCTCGGCTCACTGCAACCTCTGCCTCCTGGGTTCAAGCGATTCTTCTGCCTCAGCCTCCCGAGTAGCTGGTATTATAGGCATGCACCACCACGCCTGGCTAATTTCTGTATTTTTAGTAGACACAGGGTTTCACCATGTTGGCCAGGCTGGTCTCAAACTCCTGACCTCAAGCGATCTGCCTGCCTCAGCCTCTCAAAGTGCTGGGATTACAGGTGTGAGCCACCGCACCTGGCCCCACTCCAGAATTTCTGCTTGATTCTTTTTAATTATTTCAATTTCCTTGTTAAATTTATCTGATAGGATTCTGAATTCCTTCTGTGTGTTATCTTGAATTTCTTTGAGTTTCCTTAAAACGGCTATTTTGAATTCTCTATCTGAAAGGTCACATATCTCAGTCCTTCCAGGCTTGGTCCCTGGTGCCTCATTTGGTTTAGTGAAGTCATGTTTTCCTGGATTCTCTTGATGCTTGTGGATGTTCATTGGTGTCTGAGCATTGAAGAGTTAGGTATTCGTTGTAGTGTTCAGAGTCTGTGCTTGTTTTTGCCCACCTTTCTTGGAAAGGCTTTCCAGGTATTTGAAGGGACTTGGGTGTTGTGATCTAAGTGGTCACTGCAACCATATCTGCATTAGCCTAGTAACACTGTGGTTCTTGCACACTCATAGAGGTACCACCTTGGTGGTTTTGGATAAGATCTGGAAGACTTCTCTGGATTACTGGGCAGAGACTCTTGTTCTCTTTCCTTACTCTCTCCCAAACAAATGGCCTTCCCCTGCCTCTCTGTTTTGAGCTGCCTGGAGCTGGGAGATGGGTAACACAAGAACACCTGTGGCTACCACCACTGGGACTGTGCTGGGTCAGACCTGAAACCAATACAGCACTGGGTCTTGCCCCAGGCCTGGTGTAACTGCTACCTGGCTACCACCTATGTTTGCTTAAGGCCCTAGGGCTCTACAATCAACAGGTGGCAAAGCCATCCAGGTTGTGTCCTTCCGTTCATGTTAGTGAGTGCCCCTGGGCACTGGGTGGATCCAGAGATGCCATCTGGGGACCAGGGCATGGAGTTGGAAATCTTAAAATCCACCTGGTGCTTTATTCTTCTGTGGCTTAGCTGGCACAAAAAACACAAGACAAAGTTCTTCCCACACTTTCCTCCCCTTTTTATAGGCAGGGGAGTCTCTCTCTGTGGCCACCACCACCCCAAGCCTATAGTGAGTACTGCCTGGCTACCACTGATGTTCACTGAAGCCCTAGGGTCTCTTCAGTCAGCTTGTGGTTGATTGCTGCCAGGCCTGGGACTTATCCTTCAGGGCAGTGAGCTCCTCTCTGGCCCAGGTCAGGTCCAGAAATGCTGTCCAAGAGCTAAGGCCTAGAATCAGGGACCACAAGAGCCCTCTTGGTGCTCCATCCCACTATGGTTGAGCGGTACCTAAACTACCCCTTTTACTCTTCCCTCTGTTTTTCTGAAGCAGGAGTCTCTCCTCATACCACCATAGCTGGGAGTGTGCTGGGTCACACCTGAAGCCAGCACATCTCAGAGTCTCACTCAAAGCCCATGGCATGTACTACCTGTCTACTGCTGCTGATTATTCAGGGCCCAAGGGCTTTTAAGTCTTCCCTTCAAGGCAACAGTATCCTTTCTGGCCCAGCACGTGTCTAGAAATGTCATCTGGGAGCTAGCTTCTTGCATGGGGGTCTCATGACTCCGCCTTGTGCACTATCCTACTGTGGCTGAGCTGGTTTCCAAGTTGTAAGACAAAGTCCTCTACTCTTCCCTTTCCTCAAGTGGAAGGAAGGAGTTTTTCAGAGCTGTGAGCTATGCTCCCTGGGCTTGGAGGAGGGGTGCTGCAAACCCTCCTTTGGCTGCTCTGGTTGATGTCCCCCACTAGGTCATGTGCCCCCGAAGTCCAGGCTTTGATGCCTGGATCTCCTTTCAAGTTTATTTAGGATTCCAGAGCAGTTGAGCCTGCACTGGCAAAGCTTGCCAGAACTCAAGTTCCAGCCACTGAGATGGATGAATTCACTCTGGCTAGGGCTGGTCTAAATGCTCCCTCTGTGGGCATTGGCTGAGTTCTGTCAAGTGTTGCTTTCCACTGTGACAGGGCAGCACTGAGTTTCAATGCAAAGTCCCATAATCACTCTACTCTCCCTCCCCCAAGCATACAGATTCACTGCTGCTGGGGAATAGGGGAAGGATGGTGTCAGCAATTCAAGACTGTTTTTTCTACCCTCTTCAGTGCCTCTTGCAGTGATTTTAAGTTAAAACAATATACTGTAATTGCTCACCTGATTTTTGGTTCTTATGAAGGTGCTTTTTTGTGTAGATAGTTCTTAAATTTGGTGTTCCTGTGGGGAGGATGATTGGTAGAGGCTTTTATTTGGCCATCTTACTTCTCCAGATCTCTTGAAAGTGACTTCTTTAGCTAAATTAATCAAACATCAGAGAGAAAATGTTTAGAGCAACTTATTCATATGTATTATACATTTTAGAGTTGATGCCTATGTAGATACTGGGGATTTATTGAGTGTATTAGGCCATTCTTGCATTGCTATAAAGAAACACCTGAGACTGGGTGATTTGTAAGGGAAAGAGGTTTAACTGGCTAATGGTTCTGCAGATTCTACAGCTTCTGCAGGCTCTATAGCAATGCTTAGAGGCTTCTAGGGAGGCCTCAGGAAGCTTACAATCATGGCAAAAGGTGAAGAGGGAGCAGGCACATCACATGGTGAAAGCAGGAGCAAGAGAGAGGGTGAGGGGGTGGTACCACACAATTTTAAACAACCAGATCTTGCAACAGCTCACACTTTTGGTGCAAGGACAGCACCAAGAGGATGGTGCTATGCCATTTACGAGGGATCTGTCCCCATGATCCAAACATTTCCCACCAGGCCCCACCTCCAACATTGGGAATTACATTTTAACATGAGATTTGGGCAGAGACAAATATCCAAACTATATCATTGAGCAACCAACCTGGTTTTAATATGAAACATAGTTGTTCTCAAACTTTTTAACATCAGGAGCCCCTTATACTCTAAAAATTATTGAGCAGCTTAGAGAGTTGTGGATCTCTATCTATTAGAAATTAAAATAACTTTTAGGAATATTTGTTCATTTAAAATGAAAAACAAGCTTATCATATGTTGACATAAATAACATTTTTATAAAAATATTTTCTTTTTTTTTTTTTGAGACGGAGTTTCGCTCTGTTGCCCGGGCTGGAGTGCAGTGGTGTGATATCGGCTCACTGCAAGCTCCGCCTCCCGGGTTCACGCCATTCTCCTGCCTAACCTCCTGAGTAGCTGGGACTACAGGCGCCCTCCACCACGCCTGGCTAATTTTTTGTATTTTTAGCAGAGACAGGGTTTCACCGTGTTAGCCAGGATGGTCTCGATCTCCCGACCTCGTGATCCGCCCGCCTCAGCCTCCCAAAGTGCTGGGATTACAGGCATGAGCCACCGCGCCCGGCCCCAAAAATATTTTCTTAATAAAGTTAGTGAGAAAAGTGGCACTGTTATATTTTTGCAAAATCTCTTCAATATCTGGCTTAAGGAGGACAGCTGTGCTCTCTTATTGATAATGAATAAAGAGTGCTTCCCAGAATTGACAATTCAAGACATCAGTGGTGATCTATATCAAAATGATTTTGAGGATAGTAATTTGAGGACAAGGACCATGTCTTTTGTATACCATTTTATCCTCAGAGTCTAATACAGTTCTTGGCACATAGAAACGGCCAGATATTTGGTAGGTGACTAAACTATACTGCAGTGTGTTGAGAAGTGAACAGAAGATATGGATTCAGGAAGTATAGAAACCTCCTTCATGACACTTGGTTGAGAAAAGAAGAGAAATGAGGGGAATGAGGGTGCAGAATCAGCAGAGGACTTTTAAAAATAATGTTTTCATATGAGGAAAAAAATAAAAACAAATAGAAATTAAGAAAACAGGAAAGAAGTGGAATAATTAGGAACCTAGGGTGGGGTAGGGTAGCAGGACATTTCAAACATTAATGAGCATATGAGATTCCAGGTCTTGTTAAAATGCAAATTCTGATTCAGCTGGTAGGTGAGGTCTGAGATTGTGCATTTCTAACAAGCACTCAGATAATCTTAAGGCTGTTGGCCCCAGGGTCACACTTATAGTGATTTTCTAGAACCCAGTTGGGGAAGTGAATCTTGGGCAGGAGAAATACACACCTCTTGCATTGAGTTTGGAGATCTCATCTGATATAACTTTTTAAGAAAGAAAAATAATTTTCCAAATATCCAATTGATAAGCTTTCCCACTAAGTGGCTTTCCCACTAAGTGGCTGCGTTATGAAAATTGCTTCACTTTGAAACTTCTGGTCTTGGTAATATAGAATTTCTGTGTTCTCACAGTGCTTGATTGAGAATATGATATTGAGATTATGGCATAAAATATAGTGGCTGTACAAAAAAAAATACATTATTAGGATCTCTAACAATTATGTAAAAGTCATTGCTTCATGGGTAGAGCTCAAACTTTGGTGTGAGACCTGGTTTTATTCTTGGCACTTACTCTGAGTTGTCTTAGGCAAATTAATACCTTAAGCAAAAATATTCTCATGTACATTTTACATGAGAATTATAAATGAAGTACATAAAGTCCAGCAGTCACAAATGTTATCTATTATTACCATCGTCCTAAGACTGCAATCAGCTATAGTGAAAGTAGTCTCAAAGATTGTTTCATAAATCATCAGATTCACCTAATTTTCTAAAGAATTTAAATAAGGAGATGGAATGAATAGATTGCATTTTGTTTCCATGCACAGGGGAACTGTGCATATTTCTTCTGTGACTCGGAAATGGTTTAACTTTTAAAAATCCCAAAATAGCTGAAGTTAGCAGACATGCAATTTACCAAGGATGATTGGAATTTTTATCTTTCCTGTAATAATACTATACCCAAGCACACTGCTCATGAGGAAAACATTTTTATGTGAATCTTTTACTCTTGGGGGCAAAGAATGCTGTTTTTCTTTTTGATAACTATGTTTATAGAATCTAAATCACCCTGAGCAATTATTTCAACATCTAAAGTTATTATTACCATTCATGTTTCATTTATAGCTATTTGAATTTTGATGAATTTCAATATGGTGCTACAGTGATAGGGCAAGTGCAAATAAGTTCAATATATGGGTACGGTCTAAAGCTATTTTAATTTTTTTATTACAACTGCTATGAAGAAAATTAGGATATGCCATATTTTCACGTTTTACAGTTGGATGTCCTATGATGTTCTCTTCCAGAGAACAGAGCTCGGAGCTCTGGAAATTTGGAGGCAACTGATATGTGCTCATGTCTGCATCTGTGTGGGTTGGCTGTATCTCAGGGACAGAGTCTGCAGCAAAAAAGGTAATAATAGTTCCTTGAATACTTTTATATTATTACTTTGAAAGAACTAAGGCAGAGCATCTCCATTTGGCTTTTCTTTAGGAACACATGTAGGTGGAAAAGAGGTCAGTAGGAAGGCAAGAAGTAAATACTGCAACTGAGATAAAATTAAGTCAACTTTGTAGACTATCCCCGGGCATTTTCTTGTTTTTTCTCTTTTTTCTTTTAAAATTTTTGTGGGTACTTTGTAGGTGCATATATGTATGGGGTACATGAGATACTATGATACAGGCACGGAATACATAGTAATCACATCATGGAAAATGGGGTATTCATCCCCCTCCCAGGCATTTTCAACCTGAACTTTTGTTGTCAGTAACCACAAGACTGGAAATTTTTAACTCCTTCTTACCAATTTTGTAATCATTGTTGATCTCTTGCACTGGTAGAATATGCCTTGGTAGGAGAAAATATTAAAACAGTATAAGACATGTTGTAGTAAATATTATAACAGCATAAGACATACAAGGTGGTAAGTGCATGCAGAAACATCAACTGAGGTACTCAAAGCCACTTTAGGTTTCTGTGTCCACTATTATTAAGTCCTGCTGGAATTTACTTTGAAAAGTCTTTTCTCATTCTTTTTCTAAATCTTGTAATTGTCTGTAAGTACTACCTTCATAATTAAAATGTTTCTACTCTGATAATGCCTTTAAGTACTTTAAGAACTATAAGTCTAGAGCTCTTTCAGGGGATCAAACCAGAAATGGATGCTTAGGGCAGGTGTCACACTGATTTACGATCACTCTCCTAACCTGACATTAGATATATTCAATAGATCTGGCAGTAAGTGTAGTGCATACTAATGGGTCTTGATTTTCAACAATTTTATGCATAAGAAGATTTTATTGTGTTTTATTGCGTTGGCTGAATATATCAGGATACCAACTGAAAGCAGATCTTAAAGTTAATAACTCCAGCTTTTTTTGGTTTAGTATTCGATAAACTTCTCTTAGGCCACTAGGGCTTAATGAACAAAATACCTCTTTGGCAAAGAATTTTGCAGGCACAAAATGTTACTATAAAATTATTTTGTTGAAGAAACTAAAATGAAAGACTAATTTGATATTGCAGTTATTTAAAAAATGATATGAAATTCCTGCAAACCACTAGAAAAGCAAAAATAATTCTAAGTGCCTCTAAAATTTAAACTTAAAATATTGTTACTATTTTATTGGGCATATAATTGTGTTTGACTCTTTTGGGGACCAGCATTTATTTATTTTGGCATCTCTACTAAATAGTATCATGCTTTGGAATTTCAGTAAAATATTTGTTGTTGCTCAATAAATATTTGTTGATTACTTTTCATTTTTTTTCTGTATTGGTTTTTTAACTTTCCTAATCATGACTTTTTACACAGATATAATTTTGAGGACTGAACAAAATTCAGGAAGGACTATTCTCATTAAGGTAATATTTTTCTGTATTTTCTAAGGCAGAATCAGAAAGGCCAAAGCATTTTTTTCTTTTTGATACGGAGTCTTGCTCTGTTGCCCAGGGTGGAGTGCAGTGGTGCCATCTAGGGTCACTGCAACCTCTGCCTCCCGGGTTCAAGTGATTCTCGTGTCTCAGCCTCCCGAGTAGCTGGGATTACAGGTGTATGCCACCATACCAGGCAAGTTTTTGTACTTTTGTAGAGACAGGGTTTCTCCATATTGGCTAGGCTGGTTTGGAACTCATGACCTCAAGTTATCCACCCACTTCAGCCTCCCAAAGTGCTGGGATTACAGGCATGAGCCACTGTGCCTGACCAAGCATTAAAAAAAAAAAAATAATTAAATTGGTAATTTATTTTAGGTATCATCAAGTAAAATTTTTCTTTCAAAACAATGAAAACTTTGGCTGATGAAATTTACCAATTTAGATTTGTTTTCAGAAATGTTACGGGGAGATAAAAATTACTGAAATCTGACTGTGGTGTAACTAGGAAGGTGATGTGATGGGTAATGCTCTTTTTCCCAGCCTGTTCTACTAGTGGGAGAATACAATCAGTTTATAATGCATAATAACCAGGTGTCTTTTGGGTATTCCTAAATATTCAACCTTTTGGAGTTACACCTCCTATAATTTTCAAATAGAATGCTTTGAATGACGATCCCAGTCTTCCTCCAGTATCTCCATGGATTATCAAGAGTGTACCTCCAGCCATCTCTGCTTCAATGGTTTGCTTCTGCTGAATTCTCAATTTCTATTTCAGTCTCCTCATCTATGACAGACAGTGATCCTTCCCAGGTAGCACTTTGCCTCTGGTTGGGTGTTGGCATACCCTCTAGGTGCCATAAAGTAGAGCTATGTATCCACCTTTACTGAAGGTTTCCACACTTCAGGAGAAAATTAGAATACAGCAATGCTCAGCACTACTGTAAACCTATATTTTGAATATGACTATTTCCAAAATCTAAGGCAAAAACATTAGATGCTTTGCAGCTTTATCCAGCTTCCTAGCCTCTCTGCTGTATGTCAAGGTCCACCTTCTCTCATTTGTAGGAGAGAGCACCTTTCATAAAAGTTTCATAGGGCCAATTTCCCCCTTACTTTAAGAATATTTTACTCACTACCTGAAGGACTTGTTTTTACTATGGAACTTATTAGAACTTCATGTTCAGAGAAACCCCACCTGTATTAGTCTGTTTTCAAGCTGCTGATAAAGACATACCTGAGACTGGGCAATTTATAAAAGAAAGAGGTTTAATGGACTTACAGTGCCACGTGGCTGGGGAGGCCTCACAATCATGGTGGAAGGTGAAAGATGTGTCTCACATGGCATCAGACAAGAGAAGAGAGCTTGTGCAGGAAACTCCCGTTTTTAAAACCATCATATCTTGTGAGACTTACTATCACGGGAACAGCACAAGAAAGACCCACTCCCATGATTCAATTACCTCCCACCAGGTTCCTCCCATGACACATGGGAATTGTGGGAGTTACCATTCAAGATGAGATTTGGGTGGAGACACAGCAAAACCATATCAACACTCTTAGACACAAGGATCCACACAGGATTACATATTCTAGAGTCTGAGTTGTAGTAGAAGTGATGGGAACAGTGGTGAATATCTATAGCACAATATAGGATGGTGGTCGGCATGAGAAATGCTGCCTGTGTTGAGGTTTCTCAGCCAGTAGGAAGTAATCATGGCCTTTTTTATTCTTCCTGATTTCTTTTGGTCTTCTCTGAGTACCTTTTGAATAAAACACATTCACACAAGATCTCCCAAGGTCAAACAGTTATTCTCAAGGATTGGACAGTCTAAACACATAATAAAGGACAGAGACATTTCTCTAAGGCAAATATGTCTAGCAAAGAATTTCTCTTTTCCACAGTAAATAGCCTTTTATATTTATGCAGTATTATTTCTGGCCTTTCTTCTCATATTCTTCTGATTATCTAGACCATGCCCAGAGACCTATCTCCGCAGAAGTCAAATAGAGACTATGACAGCACTTCTTTAAATAATAGAGGCTGATAGCCCTTTGAGTATGTAAAGGTCCAGCAGAAGATGCAAGTGTGTGTGCATGTGTGTGTGTGTGTGTGTGTGTGTGTGCATGTGCATGTGTGTGTGTGGTTTTGATTCATATTAAAGTCTTAGGCAGGGCTTCCTCTCCAGTTGATTTTCTCAGTAAGCATAAATGAAGCTGTAGATAGATGTCTTCTCCCTCTGTCCAGACAAAGCCTTAGGGTCACAGATTTGCTTTTTTGGAATTTCAGTTACGTGAGTTTGGAGTAGTTTGGCTTCACTGGTCTATTTCTGTCCACGAAGACCAAAGAGATTTATAGTAGAGTCATGGATAGAACATTCCTAGTCCAAGAGCTTGGGAGAGACTTTGATGGTTTACTTTAGAGATCATCTGGTGTTGTTCATGATCCTTATGAGCATTCTGAACCGATCTTCATGTTCAGGGAAACTCCATTACCTTGTTTCATAGGGAATCTTCTGATGGAGCTGGCTCCAAGGCTTCCCTTTTCTCCTATAATTATTTTCAGCTCTTGAGGAAGTACCAGACCTGTCTTGGTACACACGAAGATTTCAAGGCCATGCTGAAGCTGTGAAGACCAGCCAAGAACTTCATTTCATAGCTGTTTGTAAGGTTTCTTCACATTGTGTAGAGGTGAGGGTGAGGTTCGCTTAAGATCACTGGGCTCTTACAATGGAGGCCCAGATTAACAATAATGGTAAATCTAGGAATACAACTTGGTCTCTTATCTCCAGGCCAGTCAGTCCTGTACTCTTTAATCCTTTCCTTTAAAAAATGTTTTTGAAAATTTTATTGTGGTAAACATGAGATCTACTGTATTAGTCCGTTTTCACACTGCTGATAAAGACATACCCGAGACTGGGAAGAAAAAGACGTTTAATGGGACTTATAGTTCCACATGGCTGGGGAGGTCTCAGAATCATGGTGGGAGGTGAAAGGCACTCCTTACATGGTGGCAGCAAGAGAAAATGAGGAAGAAGCAAAAGCAGAAACCCCTGATAAACCCATCAGATCTCGTGAGACTTATTCACTATGACGAGAAAAGCAGGGGAAAAACCGGCCCACATGATTCAATTACCTCCCCCTGGGTCCCTCCCAGAACACATGGGAATTCTGGGAGATACAATTGAAATTGAGATTTGGGTGGGGACACAGCCAAACCATATTGTCTACCCTCTTAACATATATATTATATATATATATATAAATTTTTTTGAGACAGGGTCTCACTCTGTCACCCAGGCTGGAGTGCAATGGCACAATCTCAGCTCACTGTGACATCTACCTCCCAGGTTCAAGCCATCCTCTCACCTCAGCCTTCCAGGTAGCTTGGACCAGAGTTGCACGTCACCACACCTGGCTAATTTTTGTATTTTTTTGTAGAGACGAAGTTTCGCCATGTTGCCCAGGCTGGTCTCGGACTCCCAAGCTCAAGCAATCCGCCCACCCCAGCCTCTCAAAGTGCTGGGATTACAGGCATGAGCCACCGCACTCAGCCAATATATTTTTAAGTGTACGATACATTATTGTTGACCATAGGTATTATTCTTTCCTTTTTGAAGCTAAAATATTACTGCTATCCACCTTGTAGTCATAGAATAGGGGAATGAAGGGGTTATTATAAAAATTGTAGTTTAAACTTCTATAGGAAGTATAAATTTCCTCTAATGTATGGGTTGTTTCCTCTCTGAGTCCAATTTCAGAATGTAAACAAGAATTGCAATTACAATTCTAAAGTACAGATGGTCCTCCAACTTACGATTTTTTGACTACGATGATGCAAAAGAGATGCACATTTAGCCAAAACCGTACTTAAGAGTATCCATACAACCATTCTTTCACTTTCAGTACAGTAGTCAATAAATTACATAAGATATTCAACAACTTATTATAAAATAGGCTTTGCATTAGATGATTTTGCCCAACTGTAGGCTAATGTATGTGTTGTGAGGATGTTTAAGGAGGCTAGACTAAGCTATAATGTTTGGTAGGTTAAATACTTAACAATATTTTCAACTTATAATGGGTTTATCAAAAGTAACCCCATCATAAGTTGAGGAGTATCTGTATTAATAATATAGTGCATACTGTGCTTAAATATTTTTCCCTGCCTTTTTAGCAAAACAATTTGAATTGATAGTAAGGTTATTTCTCTTACCAAATAAAGTTAATGAGAGATCAGGTGGAAATTCTTTACCAAAACATAAACAAACACACACACACACACAAATAAATGTATTTTAGGGAAAACTGGACTTGACTATTTTTATCTTTGATTATCCTTACTAAAGATATCCTACGGGAAACACAGACTTTATTTTTTTTTCGTTTCATGGGCTTCAGGAAGAGAAGCTTAGTAAACATACATTCTCTCCTTCCTCTTTCCCAGAAGCTGCAATAGTTTATTTTAAAGCTAATTCTAGGGTAGGTCCTTTTGATCTCACTGCTATCACTTAGAGAATTATAATGTGGTTTTGCAATTCTAGCTAGAATGGGGGACCTTTAAAAAAGGTCTTGGATTTATGTTAAATGATTTTAGTTCAATGATAGGAAACCCCTCTACTTGTTAAAAAAAAAAAACACAAAAACCTCAAAAAAAGCTCTTAAGATCTTTATAGTAGGAAGAAAACAACCAACTGCTTTTCAAATTATGGGGTTGGTCCCATGTTTTGAAAGTTACCATCTCAGTTGATCTCTTAATGAGATGTCTGTGTACATGAGACAAAGGTCGATAAGAACTTGAGGGCTTCTCATCTATCCCTTCTCAGTTAACAATCCAGTAGCTTCAGAAGACAAATTTAGGACCCTTGCCTTTGTCCACTGGGTGAAGCATTCATCATCCTAAAGCTGCACTGGAAACTTCCTGGAGGTTTGTCTTCTTTTTGGAGGAATGTTCTGATATGGGATTCACTTTGTTTTTCTCCTTTTGCTTTCTGGTGCATACATGTTTTCCCTCTTATGTTCATTTCTTAATCATTATCTGTAACATTTTGGCTTCCTTTTCCTCTGGCTTTGATTTCCAAGTATGGAATTGAACCTTCTTGTCTGAATACCATTATGTAAGTACTGACAACATCACATCTTTTTATTACTGACACTGAAGGATGTATTTTTTGTGGGTAGAAATGGGGTAGAGATGGGATAGGTATAATTCTTATTAAACTTATTTTTAATCTACCTTCTAGTCCTTCTTTGTGTTAACTAAGCTGTCATATAAGCATGAGAAATACACACATAATCCATATATTGGTTATTTCTGAACTTATAAGGGCAGACGCTTTTTTGAATCATAACCAATCAAAGTACAAAATTCAGTTCTTTTATTAGAAGAACTCCCAGTATATCTGTTTCTTCTTTCAATTATTTCCAGCCAACAGGACCTCTTCTCTTATAATCTTTGTCCACACACCATTCAGCCCCATCCCTTCTTCCTTTACAACACAGAGTAGCCTTTTTCTGCCCAATTCATCCTAACTCCTCTCCACCCTACCCCACCACTTGCTGCAAGAAACTTGGGCCTAAGGTTCACTTTTACTGTACAAAAGCATTTTCTAACAAAGCCAGTTTCTTTGTGTAGAACAGTTGTCCTCCACAGGGGCTGATTTGCCCCCAGGGGACGTCTGGCGGTGTCTGGAAACGTTTTTGGTTATTACTTCTACTACAGGGAAACTGCTGGCTTCTAGTGGGTAGGGGCCAGGGATCCTGCTAAACATCCTATGATGCACAGGACAATCCTCCTAACAAAGAATTATCCGACCCAGATTGTCAATTGCCTTTCTGTTGAGAGACCCTCCTGTAAGGAAATTCTTGTATCAGTGGCACTAAGCAATCATATTTTCTACTCTGCTGTTATCAATGCTTTATTAATTCTGTACATTAAGTTATAGGTTTTACATATACACACTCCAGTTAATAAACAGTTGTTGAATACTAGATATGTGTCAGGCACCAAGCCAGGCACTCTTAAATTGCTTATGGTTCAGTGAGGAAAAGAGGCAATATAATACCTTGTGAAAGGGGCTATGATTGCATAAAGAAGATATGCCTCACCTCGCTCAGGAGGATCTGCTAAGCTTTTTGATTTCTGAGAAGGAAGAGGCCTGAATTGAGCCTGGAAGAATAGGTAAGAGAAAGCAAGGCAAAGGAAGGGAGAGAAACACATTTCTGGAAAAGGGAGAAGCACAGGTCAAGTCGTGGTTAGAGAAGCAGGAAGGAGCAGATCCTGAAGGACACCACTTAATGTGCTGGCAATTGTCAGATGGTTTTTAAAGGCCACTGGGAGTCCTTTAAAGAGGGGTTAATTGGGGCAGGAGTGGGGAGTGTGTTGGTGGTTTAAGAGTTAGATTTCAAGAAGGTCATCACTGTTTCTGAAATCTAGCTGAGCGCTAATGAGAGACTTAACTAAGGTAGTAGAAATAAAATTGACAAGACAGGGAATGGGGTTGGCATGAGAGACCAAAAAGTCGTGCATGACCCTCAAATTTTAGGCATGGTACCATTTACCAAATCAGGAAAGGCAGGAGGGGATTGAAGGTTGTGGGATGAGGTAGAAGTCAGATTTGGACATACTGTCATCCCTCAGGATTTGGGGGAATTTGTTCTAGGACCCCTGTTCATACGAAAACCTACAGATTCTCAAGTCCCTCATATAAAATGATATAGTATTTGCATAAAACCTACACAGTCTTCCCATATACTTTAAATCATCTTTAGATTACTCATATTACCTAATACAATGTAAATACTATGTAGTTATACTGTGTTTTTTAACATTTGTGTTATTTTTAATTGTTGTAATTTTTCATTGTTTCCCTTACTCCCTACACCCAGATCCATAGTTGGTTGAATCTGCAGATATAGAACCTGTAGATATGGAAACCCAGTTTTATTTTTGTATCATACAGATTTTCTCATTTATAAAAGTAATATACATGTCTTTTGTAAAAACACTTGGAAAAAAGAGAGAAGTACAAAATCTCCACTTGGAAATAGCCACTGTTGGCAGCTGGGCACAGTGGCTCACGCCTGTAATCCCAACACTTTGGTAGGCTGAGGCGGGTGGATTGCTTGAGTTCAGGAGTTTGCAATCAGCCTGGGTAACATGATGAAACACCGTCTCTACAAAAAATACAAAAATTACACCAGGCATGGTGGCATGCATCTGTAGTCCCAGGTACTCGGGAGGCTGAGGTGGGAGGATCACTTGAGCTCGGGAGGCTGAGGTTGAAATGAGTGCCACTGCATTCCAGCCTGGGTGACAGAGTGAGACCCTGTCTCAAAAAACAAAACAAAACAAACAAAAAAGAAATAGCCACTGTTAAAAGTTCAGTGATGTTTTTCCCAAATTGTTCTATGTGGCCAAAATTAAACATTTAAAAAATACAAACCCAGATAAGGTGCTTTATACACTGCCTGTTTTCTTTTTTCTTTTTTTCTTTTTGTATTTTTAGTAGAGATGGAGTTTCGCCATGTTGGCCCAGCTGGTTTCGAACTCCTGACCTCAGGTGATCCACCTGCCTTGGCCTCCCAAAGTGCTGGGATTACAGGCGTGAGCCACCGTGCCTGGCCTGCCTTTTTTCACTTTGCAATATATTTTAACTCTTTCCCTGTGCCACTGAATGTCCTTTTACTTTTTATTATTATTATTATTATTTTTTGAGACAGAATCTCTCTCTGTTGCCCAGGCTGGAGTGCAGTCGTGCAATCTTGGCTCACTGCAACCTCTGCTTTCCGGGTTCAAGCAATTCTTAGGCCTCAGCCTGCCAAGTGGCTGGGATTACAGGCACGTGCCACCATGCCCAGCTAATTTTTGTATTTTTAGTAGGGGTTTCACCATGTTACCCAGGCTGGTCTTGAACTGCCGAGCTTGAGCAATCTACCCGCCTTGGCCTCCCAAAGTGCTGGGATTACAGGTGTGAGCCACCGCAACTGGCCTCCTTTTACATTCTTAATGACTGCACAATATCTCACTATGGAGGAACCATAATTTACTCCATCATCTCTATTGTTGGGGGTTTTGGTAGCTTTGGGATTCTCATTCTTAACATGTCATGCTTGATGCCATCACAGGTTGAGTCTTTAGAAGCTGACAGAAATGGCATTGGAGGTATAAGATATTAACTAGGGCTGGATCCCTGTGAAAGGAAGAGGGAAGAAGCAGGGGTGGGTGAGGGAGGTGAACTGTGGTACAGTCCTGCAGCCTCAGCAGACCCCAGGGTCTACTGTAAAGGCCTATCAGTGTTGTCCCATTGGGTGGAAATGGCTGGGCTTTTATAATCTTAAGTCATTCACTGACCAGATGAGGGCTGTCCTGGGAGGGGAAGGACCTCACGTGAGGCTGCACTCTGCAGCTGAGGCCAACTTTGAAGGAGCTGATAGCTGGGGGTATCTGTTGACCACACTCTCCAAGGCTGGGCAGCAAGTAGCAAGTCCTCCTGTGAAGCAAGTCCTCATATGACACTCCTATGGGGCATCTCTGTGTCTACCGCCGTTACTCATTCTGTGCATATATGTTTGCTTAGGTCCTTGGTATAAATTCCAAGAAGTGGAATTGCTGGGACAGAGTGTGGGCATTTGAAAAACTTTTTATATTTATTGCCCAGTGACCTCCCAGAAAGATTGTACCCCTTTCTCCCATCAAGAGTTCATCAGTAATGCATCAATACATGACAATTGTACTGTTTTACATTTTTAAATATTGAAAGGTATCTCAAATTCCTTTGAAAAATAAATACAAATTTTGATGTTTTATTGTTGTGAATTTCATCTCAAACTCCTAAGGCAGGTGCTGTACCTTTCTCTATAGAGCTGTAGAAATCTTTCCAGAAGGGTAAAACATTCTAATGACTGATATTAGGAGGCAAAGAATTATATTTGGGTCTTCTGAGTTGCAAACTTTCAACATTAAAGAGGCCAAGCAGTGATTGGTGCCTGAGCTGACTTGAAACAGGATTTGCAAAACCCTCCAGCCTTTCCATATAACTATTTGAACAAATACATGAAATCTCCATTTTTTAGGAAAAATCTGACACACTGTTAGAAAGAGAGACCAAAGGGAAATAACCTTCAACCTTCATTTATTGAGTGCCTACTCTATGCTAAGCAATGCCTTGGGCTTTTATATCCACCATCATATTTAATTCTCACAACAATCCTTTGAAGTATTATCCATTATTCAGATGAAGAAATTGAAGCTTAGTGATTCTGGTAGCTTGCTAATATTGTAAGGCATTCAGATCCCCAAGGCTGTGCACTTCTTAACATTCTGGGCTGCCGCCCCCAAAGCTAGTTACACAGCAGCAGCTTTAAATAGTGTAATGTATGTATATATTAACTCTAATAATAATAATTCTTGTGAAGCTTGCAGAATGTCCTACTGGACTGAATAGTGCATAGGATTCAGCATCTAGAATTTTAAAATTTTGTGTCACTTATAACATCTAGCACATATGAGGTATTCACTAATTACTTAAAAGTTTTTTTTTTTTTTTTGTGATGGAGTCTCGTTCTGTTGCCCAGGCTGGAGTGCAGTGCCGTGGTCTCGGCTCACTTCAACCTCTGCCCTCCTGGGTTCAAGTGATTCTCCTGCCTCAGCCTCCCAAGTAGCTAGAATTACAGGTGGCTGCCACCACACCTAGCTAACTTTTTTTGTATTTTTAGTAGAGACCGGGTTTCACCATGTCGGCCAGGCTGGTCTTGAACTCCTGGCTTAGTGACCCGCCCGCCTCGGCCTCCCAAAGCGCTGGGATTACAGGTGTGAGCCACTGTGCCTCGCCGCACTTAAAAGTTTTTGAATAGCCGACAAGAGAGAAATATCTTTCCATTTTCTTTCATCATTCCATTTTCTTTTGGGGTTTGGCCTGATCAGAGTGCAGCCAAGAGGCAAAGAGATGGTTCAGTCAGTGGCCTCCCTTTCAGCAGGAACAGTTGTATTCCTGAAGCTTGCTCATCAGCTTTTCTAAACGGACCCACAGACTAGAGATAGTGCCAATAAAAAGTAGTTGAACAAAAATGAGCCTAACAAACAAAAACCATCACCCCAGTACGGAAGAATGTGGGTGGTGAACTGTTTACTCAGAAGAGATAGGTTCCAATCTAGCTTTTAGAGCTAACTTCCAGAGCACAGGAAGTACAGAAAGAAGAGAAATATGTTGAAGACACCACAAAGAAGCCTAAGATAAATCCAGAAGACAGCCTGGTTTTTTCAATAAGGCAATGTCATTCCAAAAAAAGGGGGAGTGTGGAGGAGGAGGAGTCTCTTTTGGGTTAAAAAAAGATGTGCTAAAATGCAATGGGTGGTCATGGATTGGATCCTGGTCTGAGTAAGTCAGCTGTAAAAGACATTTTTGGGTCAGTTGGAAGAATTTGATATGAGTTGATAATTATTGTTAGTTTTAGTTAGGTGTGAAAATAGCATTATGTTTATTTATGTTTATGTAGGAACGTGTCTTTTCCTTTTTTTTTTTTTTTTTTTTTTTTTGAGACGGAGTCTCGCTCTGTCCCCAGGCTGGAGTGCAGTGGTGTGATCCTGGCTTACTGCACCCTCTGACTCCCTGGTTCAAGCGATTCTCCTGCCTCAGGCTCCCAAATAGTGCCACCACGTCCAGCTAATTTTTTTTTTTTTTTGGATTTTTAGTAGAGACAGGGTTTCACCATGTTGTCCAGGATGATCTCAAACTCCTGACCTTGTGATCCACCCGCCTCTGCCTCCCAAAGTGGGAGAGTGTCCTTTTAAAAATGATATGTATATTGTACCATTTAGGGGTGAAATCTCCTATCTTTAAAACTCTCCACCAGGCTCAGCACTTTGGGAGGCCAAGGCAGGAGGACTGCTTGAGGTCAGAGTTTGAGACCATCCTGGACAACATAGTGAGACCCCTCTCTCTACAAAAAATACAGAAATTAGCTGGGTGTGGTGTCACTTGCCTGTAGTCGCAGCTACTTGGGAGTCTGAGGCAAGAGGATCGCTTGAGCCCAGGAGTTCAAGGTCACGGGGAGCTATGATGGCGCAACTGCACTCCAGCCTAGGCAACAGAGCTGTCTCTTAAAAAACTTAAAAAACAAACAAGAACGGCTGGGGGCGGTGGCTCACGCCTGTAATCAAAGCACTTTGGGAGGACGAGGCAGGCGGATCACGAGGTCAGGACATCGAGACCATCCTGGCTAACACGGTGAAACCTCGTCTCTACTAAAAAAATACAAAAAAATTAGCCAGGCGTGGTGACGGGCGCCTGTAGTCCCAGCTACTCGAGAGGCTGAGGCAGGAGAATGGCGTGGACCCGGGAGGCGGAGCTTGCAGTGAGCCGAGATTGCACCACTGCACTCCAGCCTGGGCGACAGAGCGAGACTCCTCAAAAACAAACAAACAAACAAGAACTTTGGGAGGCCGAGGTGGGTGGATCACCTGAGGTCAGTTCGAGACCAGCCTGGCCAATATGGTGAAACCCCGTCTCTACTAAAAATATAAAAACTAGCTGGGCATGGTGGTGGGCGCCTGTAATCCCAGCTGCTCGAGAGGCTAAGGCAAGAGAATTGCTTGAACCCAGGAGACGGAGGTTGCAGTGAGCCGACACGGTGCTACTGCACTCCAGCCTCGGCAACAGTGAGACTCCATCTCAAAACAAAACAAAACAAAACAAAACAAAACAAAACAAAAACAAACAGAAAGTAAATACAATTTAAAAAATTAAAAAATAAAACCCTCCAGCAGAAAAGGTGATACATAAGGCAAAAGGCAAACAGTTGTTAAATACAGACGCTAGGTTTTAGATAGTATTCTACTAGTCTCTGCTCTGTATCTGACGTTTTTCTTCATAAAAACAACCAGAAAAATAAGAACAAGAGTTTGCTTTCGTTTCAGCAGAGTAAGAACCGGTCTTTGTCTTCCGCCAAAGATGAAGCCATCAACCTGTGGCCTGGATAGTGCCTCAGGAGCGTGGAGTGAGGGACCAGGGAGCTCAGACAGATGAGTAGGCTCCTTTGTGGAGACCTGATTTGAGCACTGGTGTGAAAAAGACCCGCGCAAGCCGACCCGTGTGCCTCCCGCCCCGCCCCCAACCCCCCGGCCCTGCACACCTACCCAGGGCCGCGGCGGATACCGCATAACCTGCCACCTCGCTGTCCCCTGAGTGTCCTCAAACCACGAAGGGTGGGAATTTTGACGCTCACCGCGAGGGCGATCATCAAACGGCCTAAACTGGGCTGAGCGGGCGGGAAGTGGGGAATGCAAGGAACCCTCCAGCTTGCTCGAACCCTCAGCCGCGAGCCGGGGTGGAGGGGCAGGGACCCTCCTTCCACCGCACCCACCTGGAAGCCGGGCGGAGCGGGGCCGAACTCCGCCGGGGGGAAGCGGCAGCACGTGCCAAGGCCACGACCCTCCTCTGCCGCCGGGAGGGCCCGGCCGCCGCAGGGGGCGGGGAGCGTGGGAGGGGACGGCGCTCACCTGGCGGCTGGGCCGGATCGCGGCGGGAGAGCGGGTAGCGGGCTCAGCTGGCCGGGGCTCAGGTGAGGGCGGCGGGCCGCGCTCCCCAGCGGGGGAGGTTTCTTGGCCGGGAAAGGTACAATTGTGTGCAGCTATTTCTGGTATGTCAAGCGGGCCGGGCGGCCGCGAGCCGGGAGGGGCGCCGCTCTCAGGGGCCCGGGAGAGGGCAGGGGCCAGGCGGGCGGGTGCGGGAAGGATGCGGGCGCGGGGGCGCATCCTCTCGGGGCGGAGCCGCGGGCTGTGCGGGAACCCCAGCGGGGCCCGGGCCGCGGCCCCTGGCGGACTGTGGCATCTCCCGGGCCAGACAGTCTGACCACAGAGGCGGCCGCGGCCGGGAGCCCGGGGAGCCAAGGGAGGGGCAGACGGAAGCGGCGACTCGGCGGGCCCCGGGAGGGCGGTGGGGTGGGCCGGGGCGGGGCCACCGCGGGGAGGACGGCGGCGGCGCTGCGACTTTTGAAGTCCAAACTGTCGTCGGGGCTGGTGCCGCGCGCTGCCGCTGGGCACCCGCTTCGCTTCCCGCGTCCTGCCTGACTGCCCGGGTCCCCGCGGGCCTTGGGTCGCTTTCAGGAGTTTAGAGAAAGCCAGGTCTTCACGTTCGTGTAGGTTCGAGACCTTAACGAACTGCAGAGCGCAACAAAGGGAACTAGAGCCCCGGCGCCTTCGCAGCCGGAGCGGAAGCCGGAGTTGTGGGAGGCCCGCGTGCCCTCCCCGCCCGTGGGGCCCAGACGCGCGGGGACAACCCCTCCCCTCCACGCATCCCGAGTCTCTCTCTCCCTCCCTTGTCCTAGCCATGGAAGGGCTGGAGGAGGCAGAGGCCAACTGCTCCGTGGCGTTCGCTGAGGCTCAGAGATGGGTGGAGGTGAGTGCCTTTCACTGCTTTCCCTTCCGCAGGTGTTGACTGCCTCGGGGCGGTCGTCGCGAGGTGACTGCAGCCCCAGTCACTCTGCACTTTAGCCTCCTTCGGCGACCCAGCCGACGTGAACAAGCTGGTTTGCTTGTGCACTTTTGGGGACTCTGCGGGTTCTGCCGCTCCTGCATCTTATGTCCCGCTTAGATTGGCGCTGCCCTAACCCCCGCCCCCCGACGGTGTCACTGGCTTCCTAGGGCAGAGGTGGGCGTTCGCCTGCCGGCATCGCGCGTCCCGGAGGAGCAGCGCAGTCCGCCCTGGCTCGCCCGGGGCGTCTCTGCGGGGCACAGCCCAGAGCGCGCGGTGCAGAGCTGGGCCAGGGCTCTCGGGTGCATTCCCTCGGGGTGCCTAGAAGTGGGGATGCTCACCTTATACCTGAGAAGCCAGTGTATTCAGTGTGGAGGGGGGGAGCGGAAAAGAAGGGTGGGTGGGAGGGCAGGTGGAGGAGGTAACACACCGAAGGCCCACCTGGAAGGATGATTTCTCTGGGGCCGCATCCAAGCCCAGGGGGTAGGGGCCGGGGCATGTGCTTTTTCATTTTCGGCTTTGATGAGACTGAGATCCTAGGATCATTCGCTGAAGAGCTGTTACCCTCCCAGCTGTGCCTCACAGACAAGATCTTCCATTCCCTTCTTTCACCCTGAAAAAGAGCGGGTCTCTTCATTAACGCCTTGGGGCTACATTTATCTGTAGAAGGTTAACATCAGGACTTCTAGCCGTTATTCCACTGGACGCAAAAGATGACTTTTAAAACGAGGCAAAAGTCTTCCAAGCAGATGTGAATCAGGAACAACTGCTGAAAATTGAGGCGTGCACAAGCCCTGCAGTCATTTAGGAGTTATTGATGCCACGTGCTGGTTTAGTTAACATATTTAAAACTTCGAATTAGGCTTAAAGATTATTCCACGGAAAAAACTACATGTTTAAGAATTCCAAAGCGAACGATACTTGAAAATAATGTATTTTTCCTTAAAGAAATACATGTATGTGTGTGGAAAGAAAGAATAAATTACATTTCTTACGCTAAATAAAGGAATGTGAAATGTGAGTAGCATTAACCACGGGACAGTAGGGAGGTCTAAGGAATGAGCTTTTAGTGTCTTTTTAGATTGAAACTTTGAGCTGGTCTGAAGGTGACTTAGAAAGATGTGAAGGGAGGGGCATGGGAAGTTGAGAGAAGAATAAACGCTGTATTTTGAATTGAAATGAGAGTGGAAAAATTCCAGCAATATAGTTAAGAGAAATAACTTCCCTCATTCATAAACTTTGAAAAGCCAAGACTTCCAACTGTAATTTTCCATTAGCAGTGTGTGTTCTGCATAATTTTAGAAAACAAACTTGCCATTTTGTGTTTGAGTGTTGGGGATTGAAGGAGGGAGAAGGGGAGACGTGGGGACATGTTTTGGTCATACATGGCTTCTGTGTGGAGTTTGCATCTGCGTGCTTTGTATTTGCTTCAGGAAACATGAATAGGAATGATTCCACACCCTTCCCTTTTTTTTTAGTATGCACATTTTGGAAAACGATGAATTCCTTTTTTGTCCCTGCTTGCTCATAATTATGTAGGTTTTCTCCAAGAAATTTGTATGTAATGAATGGGGGGAAAGTGTATTGTGATAAAAGATATCATTGCGCATATTACATGTGGTCTGTTTTCACTCTCATCGCAGTCTATGTAAAGGTGTTTATCAGCAATGATTTGGCACCTCTATAATGTATTTTGTTCATCGTTAGCAGAGAGCTGGATCTTCCTAAAGGTACTGTCATATCCTTTTAATATAGTTAATGAAATTAAAATTTTTTTTCATCCCACTTGGAACAAGGCAGTATGTTTGCCTTCATTGTGTATATATGAGTAATTTACATGTTCAGATACTTTTAGTATACTCTGGGCATTTGAAATGACCACAGTGTGCTCACTGTTAGGGCTATTTTGTTTCTCCAGTGTCCACATCTATCTCTCTTGTCAGCTTTGCCTTTGCCACCAAAGCACATATTTTAAAATATTGTTCTTGCCAAAAGAAGCAGGATGAATGACTCTGTCATCATCACAACCTCTTTAAGAACCCCTAATCTGAAGATAAAAGGTTGATTCCAATGTGTATTTGTAAAGTATTCTTTCCCCTGCTTGCTGATAGTCTTGCTACATTTTGCCCTATTCCTTTACACATTACTGAAATATAGGAGGGTTTTTAAGTGTATATATTGTATATGTATGTACATATATACATATGTATTATAATATATGTTCTATCTGTATTACATATATATTCGCAACTGCAGCTTTGAATACCCCAAAGTCAACTCCAATAACCTTGTAAAGTTTTGAATGATGACTGGACTCCATGTCAGCATCTCCTTGTCATTTCCATTTTCTATCTGTGATTTTTAGTAGCTAATGTGTTATTCTCACAACCAAAGTTTATTTTTTAGAGTGGAGGAGGAAGAGTGAGGTAAGAGCTAGTGGTTATTATTCTGCCAATTATGATCACTTTATGAATCTTGTTTTTACTTATTTCAAATTGTACTTATATACTTGAGTATATATAAAAATTGGTGTGTCTACTCATGCTAATTTTGCAATTCAAAGCAAATGTAGGAAAGCTACCCTTTAAGATCGCTCAACATAATGATATTGGATTATTACATAGTTGGAAAGGCTGTTTGATACATTAATAATGTAGCAGGGCTGGTTTATGATTAAACACTGGTTTAAAACCAAGTAATGGTTTCAAGGCAAAGGCAGAGGAGAAGCTTGATTCTAGCAAGGCTACGCAGTGGCTGATGAAGTGGTGGAAAATACAGCCTGGACTCTAATTTTAGGCCTCTTCTGCAGTACCTTTTAATTTTCTATGCCTAATAGTTGCCTTTGTCTCTCTGTTGTGGGTCATCCGAAAGCCATGTGGTAAACAGACAAAATACTAATGAGATTGAAACTGGGGTATGTAGCACTTTGCATTGGTTGGTCAGTTTTTTAGTCTGTAAGTTAATGTTGCTCTCTAGATTGAGGTTCAAATACAATAGTAATTTTTATGGCTGGAGCAGAACAGGCTAACTTAATTCACCACCTTTCTGCTCACCTGCCCTTCCTGTTATCTCTGGATTGGATTTTTTCAGTATTGCTGTCACCCTGTAAGGGATGCCAACCTGAGCTCATTGCCAAGTCTGGCACTAGAATATGAGTCCTTCCTCACTTCTAATTGGTCTGTTTCTCCACCTGCCCCAAGTTTTATCCTTCGGGGATGTGCTGTTCACCACCTTTTAACTTTTTTGCCTTTGGTGCTAATGGAAGTATTTTTAGTAATTATATATAATTTCAATCAACAGATATTAAGACACTATGGTAAATATTTGTTAAAAATTGTAGTGTTACAAAGCAATTCTTATGCTAGCTGCAGCAGCTAGCATAAGAATTGCTTTGTAATACAATTTTTAACAAAGATTTACCATAGTGATTACAGGTGTGAGCCACCGCACCTGGCCTGGGCTCTGCTATTTAAATCCTGTAGGTCTCAGTTTTTTCCTCTTAATCTCCCCTGGTAGTTGTACCAGTTAAATGGATGCTGATGGTAGAGCAACAAATGCTCCCTAATCCATTGCTTGTGTTTCTCCTTGCACAGAATGCAGTTTTGTCACCTCCATGTTTTCGTATGAATGGAATACTTGTTATTCCTTGTAACCTAGTGAACACCTCTTCATTCTTCCATACTTGAGCTAAAATCAACCTTTATGTGAAGCCTTCCCAAAATCGCCAAACCTCCAGCCCCACCCATTCCTTTCTCTCCTGTCTTACATAAATCTCTCTTTTTGCATTGTGTGGTTCTATTCGTTTTTCTATATTAGTCTATGAGCTAACTGAGGGCAGGAATCGTATCTTATTTATTGCTTGAGTGTTTGGCATGGTGCCTGCTAAATGCTTGTTGAATAAAAGTACAAATAAAGTTATAGCTTTAACAACATTAAAAAATAGGATTTTAAGGACCAGAACTCATTTCTTCTTCCAGCAGAAACTTGCTTCAGTGTCTTAAGCTTTATTGGTTGCAGTTGTTTGGTTGGAACCTGCTACAGGATGTGTCTTCATCTGCATGCCAGTGTGTACTTGTTTATTTACTTAGCATTTCCTCTTCTGCCTCAACCCTCTTCCCGAGTCACCTTACTCTACTGCCGTCCACTTGATGATTTCCCTCATGGGGACTTACATTTAGTCATCTCAAAAATACCTACTATGTGCCTACTGTGTGCCAGAAACTTGACGGGTTTATAGATTCAGTCACCAAATTCTTAGCCCTTACCTGGACCTTCAAAGAGAGGCAGCCTCCATGAAAAGCAGATGTGCAGACAAACCCAGCAGTGCCATCAGGTACTGAAGTTCATCCGGTGCATCGTGATGGCATTGAGGAGGCAGCCTGAGTCCACCTGGTCAGTCAGGGCAAGCACACAGAGAAGGCAGCATTTGAGCCGAGGCTGCAGTGGGGTTAACCCATCTGCCCACTAGGCTGGAACATTTTGGCCTTTTTTAACTTGTCGTGTGTGAAATCTTGAAGTTGCAGACAGCATAGCTTCCAGAAGTTGCTCAGAGTAATTTATTCTTACTGAAGTACCTTACTGAGGTAACGTTTTACCTGCAGTGAAATGCACTGATTTTAAGTATACCATTGTAGGAGTTTTGTCAGACCTATATGCCCAAGTCACCAGAACCCAATCAAGATACAGAATGCTTTTTATCACTCAAGAGAGTTCCTTCCAGAGAGCACATTAATCTCCATTTCTTTGGTAAGCATCCACTCTTTGATTTCTAGTACTATGGATTTCTCAAGGTAGGTTTGAATGGCCAAGAAATGTCTTAATGCCTATTTGTTTCTTTTTTCCTCTCACTTTTTCTTTTACTTTTGTTTTCTGAGACAGGAACTCACTCTGTTGCCCAGGCTGGAGTGCAGTGCTGTGATCTTGGCTCACTGCAACCTTCGCCTCCTGGATTTAAGTGATTCTCCTGTCTCAGCCTCCCGAGTAGCTGGGAGTGTACCACCATGCCTGGCTAACTTTTGTATTTCTTTTTTTTTTTTTTGGTAGAGACAGGGTTTCACTGTATTGCTCAGGCTGGTCTCAAACTCCTGGCCTCAAGTGATCTGCCAGCCTTGGCCTCCTAAAGTGCTGGGATTACAGGGCGTGAGCCACCACACCCGGCCCCATTTTTTTCTTTATGCAGTGTTTTATAATTTCTTGAACACAGCATCTTTATATGGGAAATAAGAAAGGATCCTAGAAAAGAGAGGGGTGGCAAGAGATGAGGGAATTAATGAAGTCCTCTTGGGAAGGAACTGATTTACACAAATAGGAACCAGGGCAGGAATGCCGTTAGAATAGCCTGACTCCAGGAAGTGTAAACAGATATGTCAAAGTATTTCCTGAGGAACTGGGAGGGTTCCAGTGCAGTGTCAATCATTCTGGATTCTTCCAACGTACTGATGCACTGAAAGCTAGAAATGGACTTCTTTCATAAAGTGAGGAAAAATACAAAGAACTTGTACCTTTAGTAAAACAGGGTGTCAGCCAGACATGGTGGCTCATGCCTGTAATCCCAGCACTTTGGGAGGCTAAGGAGGGAGGATGGCTTGAGGCCAGGAATTTAAGACCAGCCTAGTCAACATAGCAAGACCCCATCTCTACCAAAAAAAAAAAAAAAAAAAAAAAGGTGGCACACACCTGCATTCTTGGCTGCTTGGGAGGCTGAGGTGGGAGGATCGCCTGAGTCTGGGCAGTTGAGGTTGTGGTGAGCCGTAACTGTGCCACTGCACTCCAGCCTGGGTGACAGAGTAAGACTCTATCTTTAAAAAGTAAATAAATAAATAAATAAATAGAGTATTCTTGAACCAGTTAGAGAAGTGGACCCACTGGGTGAAAAAAACGGTTCTTGATACACATTATAAAGATACCCTCTAAAACCTTTGTGGCAGTTTGCAGAATGAGCAGGGGTTGAGGGCACCATTTTCTCCACATTCTGGCCCAAATTAGAAATTGTTATTTGTATTTTCCCTCTAAATGAACAGATGAAAGACATGTTGTCCTATTTTTTCTCAGATTATTAGTGATATTAAACATTTATGTAACAAATGACCCATTGGGTTTCCTCCAGTGAGGAAGGATGAAGCTGAGAAAAGGAGGGTTCTATTTCCTCTTAAGCCACAAAAGGTTCAATGAAGTCACAATTGGCCCTTGCGAAGAAGCCTTGAAACCTTGGTGTTTCTTAAGCCATTTGTAAAGCACAAATCCTTAAAACTTCTCCTAGGCTTAGAGAAAGAGGAATGGTGTCCTGGATTGGACCCCAGGGAGTATGCCGATTTATTCAATCTGTGTTGGTTCTTGTCTTTCGGTGCATTGCTCTAGCTCTCTTTCTCTCTGGATGCCGAGAGTGCTTTGGGTAGTGAGGGACTGCTGTTGAGACTAAACACTCCTTCACCTTCCCTCTTCCTGTTAAGACTGGTTCTCAACATACCAGCATTTGAGTTATAGAAACACACTAGCTTTGTGAATGCTAGTTAAGAAAAGCAAAGTGACATCAACATATTTGCCCAATCCTTTTAGTTTGGAAGAAATACACCTTGCAGGTGAACTCGTTCTTCTAGTTAGCATCTGCTGATTGAGTTGTTTATGTTGTTCCTGTTCCCCAGAGTTCCTGACAGAATGTTCCCAAATACTTGTTGAATGAATGAATGTTTTGTGTCCAATAAAAAGGTTGGCCTATTTAATTGATGTTTCCAGATCTCCTTAAGCCTGTTAACTATCAAAAATGTGTTAGAGCCTGAGGAAATGAGGAATTATGCATACCTGTACTTAACTCTTTAGTTTCAGAAGGTATTAAATAATTATTGGTTGTATATCTTTGAAAACATGTTTGATGTAGTCAAAGCTCTTAATAGGGATAATAGCTGTCATATATGCACAACTTTGAAACAGAGGTTTAACACATTCAATCTGTGGCTTTGCTTAAAGAGATGGACAATAGCAAGTTCTACTCTGGTGAATTACAGCACAGTCCCATGAACAGCCTTTCCAAAGATTATGAAATACCCCAGTAGTATGCTCAAAGACTGGTTCTCATTACTGGGTACAGAATGCTCAGTTTGGTGCTTGAGTGCATTTTTATGTTGGTATACAGCACCTGACCCTCTGTCTGTCTTCAAGCATAATGGGGATTGTCATGTAGGAGAGATTAGGAAATTTTTGTATGGATTCAGAGGGCAGAACTGGTAATAACTGGTCACAGTGAGACTTTTGACTCAGTATTCTGAAGATCTTTCTATGAATATAGCAGTGCCCTACACTACATGAGCTGACTTGAATAGCGAGTTACCTGCTAGTGAAGTGTTTTTTTTTTAAGAGAAGCTGAAAAAATGACAATAAAAGCAGCTAGTATTCTTGAATTTCTACCACATGCATGACATGTGGCAAGTGCATTATACCCACATATCTTATAATGGACTATTCTTACTGAGGATGTTCTTTTCCAATGAGGGAAAAGAGGGGTGAGAGGTAAAATAATTTACTCAAGGAAACACTAGAAGTAGTAAATGCTGGCTGAGGATCCGAATGCCCACAGCCTGCCATCTTAGTCATTATACTCTGCTGCCTGGGAGTGGCGCTGGCCAGGTAGTTCATCATTGTTAAGGAATTAAGAATCAGAAAAGAATGGGCTCTCCGTCCTTGTTCCACCTAAAGCTGTAAGATTAGCTATTTTTTGTACATGACAAATCCTATACAACTTCCGCTCACCAGCACAAGTTATTTCTTGTGATGTTAGTGCCGTATTAGTACATGATCATCAAATATATGTAAGTTACAGAATTGCCAACAGATATATTTTTTTCTTTTTTAGAGACAGGGTCTTGCTCTGTTGCCCAGGCTGGAGTGCAGTGGTATGATCATAGCTCACTGCAGCCTTGAACTCCCGTGCTCAAGCTGTCTTCCTGCCTCAGCCTCTGGAACAGCTGGGAGACTATAGGCACACACCACCACACCCAGATAATTTAAAAATTTTGTTGTAGGGACAAGGTCTCGCTTTGTTTCCTAAGCTGGCCTTGAACTCCTGGCTTCAAGCGATCCTCCCACCTTGGCCTCCCAACCTGTTGGGATTACAGGTGTGAGCCACCATGCCCAGCCAGATGGACACTGTTGAGCAATTGCCGACTTTAGGTTTATATATTTGAATGTATGTTAGTGATTGTTAATGTTCAATAAACCATTTAAAGTGTTAAAAAAGGAAACATTTTAATATAACATTGAGTTATACTTTGAGCTAGAATAGGAAATAGATATCTAAGTAGTTTCTTCTATAATTTATAAAAGTATCATCTTCTCTCATGTGACCTACATTTCTGTAGTTCGTGCATACCAGAAATTGTACAGATGGTTATTGTATAGTGCTTCAAAAATACATGTCATGTTTTTGATTAGGATACTTTTTAGTTAGTGTTTTAGGCTTGTTAGTACCAAAGCTGGGACCCTGATAAAATTTTTTTGCCTCCTTGACTAGATTGAAATTTGATCTAGATGTGTGAACAGGGAAAGAAATATCTGAGTTATTTTGTTATACCACCATTTCATAACATTCAAAGGAAGGGAGGTCATTGCCAGTCTCATTATAAACTTTCATTCTGGCTTGACCCAGAAGTTTGAGGCTGCGGTGAGCTATGATTGTACCACTGCACTCTAGCCTGTATGACAGAGCGAGACCCTATCTCAAAAATAAATAAATAAATAAAATTAAATAAATAAAGGAAGTTCATTGTGGAATTAGTTTTTCTCATGAGATTTAATGTTTTAATGTTTTTCATTTTACATGAAGAAGGGGACAATAAGCAAACGTATTGCCTCTGGACCAGTATCAAATGCATTTGGAATTTACCCTGTGTTATGAAGAAAATATTGTCAGTCTATCAAAAGCATCAGATAGAGTTGGTGATGACTTCCTTCTCAAACCCTTCATTGCCCTCTAGGTTTTTCTTCCATTTCACTTGGTGTTTCTAATTTTTCTGTGCTCAGTCCTCCTAATTATTGTTCATCAGTGAATGTTAGAACATCCAAGGACTCATCTTCCATGTCTTCTTTTCTTTGCCTACAGTATCTTTCTAGCAGATGTTATCAAGTTCATATATCTTCTCCACGCTGATTGCTTCCATATTTACATTCCTGACCCTGACCTTGTCCCTAAATTTTAGTAACTACTTGAGATTTCCCACTGTAGGTCTGATAAGCATGTCACGCTCAGTGGGTTCTAAGCAAAACTCTTAGTACTACCCCTTTCCCACCCCTTCCTAATCATCTCCTCATCTCTCCAATGTTTCTATCTTAGCAAATGGCATCATTGTTCAGCCAGTTGCTCAGGCTTCCAAATTTGAAGTCATTATTGACTCTTGTTCTTTTTTAACATCATACCACACATCCAATCTGTGAAGAAATCCAACAGGCTATATCTTCAAATGGATCCAGAATCTGACCACCTCTTGCCACATCCACCATCACCTTTCACCTATGCTGTTGCAGTAGCCTGGACTCCTTGCTTCCAAAATAGCAGCAAGATTCCTCTTTAAAAGTGTAAGTCAGAGATTATACATCCGACTCTGCGCCCTCCTCCCCTGACAATGGCTTTCCATTACATTAAGAATAAAGTCTGAATTTTTAAGGCAGTCTCTAGGGCCCCATATGATCTGTTCCCGGCTTGCCTATCTCATCTCCACCCCCACTCTTCGACTTGCTTACTGTGCTCATACTGGCTTCCAGCTGTTACTCAGATGTAGAGAGAACTTTTTTTTTTTTTTTTTTAATTTTTGAGATGGAGTTTCACTCTTGTTGCCCAAGGTGGAGTGCAATGGCACGATCTCGGCTCATGGCAACCTCCACCTCCCAGGTTCAAGCGATTCTCCTGCCTCAGCCTCCCAAGTAGCTGGGATTACAGGCATGTGCCACCACACCCGGCTGATTTTTTGTATTTTTAGTAGAGACAGGGTTTTTTCATGTTGATCAGGCTGGTCTCTAACTCTCGACCTCAGGTGATATGTGTGCCTCAGCCTCCCAAAGTGCTGGGATTACAGGTGTGAGCCACCATGCCTGGCCTGGGTTTTATCTTAAGGTCTTTGTGTTGCTGTTCCATCTGCATGAATACATTTTCTTCATTTACTTACGTCTTAGCTTAAATGATACCTCCTCTTCTTTCCTACTGCCATTATCTTCCCTTGTCACTCCATACTCAGATTTCATTGCATTTATTATCACTTGCCTCTGCATTATATACATAGGTGTGTGTGTGTGTGTGTGTCTATGTGTATTTGTTTTTGTTTATTCCGCTATTTCCGCTAGAATATAAGTGCCTTATGTACAAGGACTTATTTTGTTTTCAAGTCGTGAATAGTGCCAAGTATTTACTAGACACTCAATAAATATTCCTGGGAAAAGTAAGTGGATGAATGAACAAATACCTTTTAATTCTTTATACTTGAAATCTTTTTAGCCCTGTGACATGACTAACTTCTTGGTTATGCTTCACTCAACAAGAGATGTTGGTTTTGTTGTATTAGTTGGGTTTTCCCCTGCTTTTTCAAGTTCTGTTCTAGACTGAGCAAGTTTTGAACATGTTTTTTTGAAAAAAGCAACTTTAAACCATGCCAAATTTACTTTATTTAACCAATTCTAAAGAAGCCTGAAAGTAAGCAAGTATCATAAAAGAAAGTCCAAGCAAATTTGAAGATGAGCCTTTTCAGCTGAATACCCTGTGCCAGGGGATAATACATCATCATGAAACTTTGGGGTGTTATTCATGAAAAAGATTTCACAACTCACTGATTGAGTTGTGTCCTGCAGTTTGAGCATGGTCTGTATTCATAATTGGAGACAGAGAAGCAGAAAATAGCTTTACCCTGTTTAGAAATAAAAAAAAATAGAAACTTTATTGAGAACAGGAAAGTTTCTATCATCTGCTTCAACTTAAACATCAGAGGCCCATCTCATGCTTTGAAAGGGTTGCACTTTATACCAGTTTTTTAATGGAATTATTCTGAAATGGCACACAAAACTGAGGGTGGAGGCTTTCAAAAGGATTTTGTTCAGAAGTGAAGGGAAAAGGGAAGCTGAAGCTCCTGATCTGATTTTGTCCAAACTGATTTTCTCTTGTTTTCTTTTCTTTCTTTTTTTTTTTTTTTTTTGAGACAGGGTCTCCACCCAGGCTGGAGTATAGTGGTGCAGCAATCATAGCTGACTACAGGCTTGAATTCCTGGGCTCAACTGATCCTCCTGTCTGAGCCTCCTGAGTAGCTGGGGCTATCGGTGCACCACCACACTTTGTTAATTTTTAAAATTTTTTTGTAGAGACAGGGTCTTGCCATGTTGCCTAGGATGGTCTTGAACTCCTGGCCTTCAGCGATCCTCCCACTTTGGTGTCTGAAAGTGTTGGGATTGCAGGCGTGGGCCACTGCTCCCAGCCTAACTTGTTTTTTATGATTGTTTCTAGCTGTTACTTGAATTAAAAGGTATTATTATTTTTAAAAATCATTTTATATAATATATGTATTTTTGCAGATGAGAAAAGAGAGGTTCAGAGAAGTTAAGTTTCTTCCCAACACCATGCAGCTGAAGCCGGCAGGCCCAGTATTTGAACTTAGATCTGTCTCATAGAAAAATCAAGCTCTCAACCCCTTCATTCATCTTCCTCTGTTTCTCACCCTCCCTTACATAGCCCTGCCTGTTGTTTGGCATGTACACATCCTGTTGTGCTATTGGCTGTTCCATATATCTGCCTCCGTCTTACTCATTTTCTTGTTTCACAATGTTAAAAAGCATAGAAAAGTGATTGGACTTAATATGGCATGTAGTGTAAATTCACACGGAAGTGTAAGTAGATACTATTAAATAACTTTCTTGTGTTGGGATGGGACAGGGCCTTAGAGACAGTGTGTGTGGTGAGGAAGGGAACAATAGAGCACTTGTCAATCTATCAAAAGCATCAGAAAGAGATGGTGATAACTTCCCTCTCAAAACATTTCCTTCATTGCCCTCTGGGTTTTTCTCCTGTTTTACTTGGTGTGAAGTACCTTCTGGGTACTTGTCCTGTCAGGGAGGAAACAGCTATGGGGCAGCATAGGAATAAGTGCAGACATGGTGGACAGCAAAGCTACAGGAAGCTTGAGAATGGGAAAAGCATTTGGGAACTATTAGAGAAGGTCCTTCTTGACCTGAATCAGAAAGTTGATGCGTGGGAGGTAACATGGAAGTCTTTCAAGTTGGGTAGGGGTGGTGTGGGCATGAGCAAGGATTCGTTGAATTGTTCTGTGGGCAGGACAGTGAAGCTAGTAGTCTACTTAGTATGGAAGGTGCTGATCTGAAGGTAGTAAGAATTACAAGACCTAAGACCAAATACTGGATATCGATTTTGATTTTTTAAAAATGTCCCATCAGATGATGTTAGAATCTGTTTTACAGAATGGGTCAGTGGAGGGGAATGACCATATTGCATATCAGAGGATTAAGGATTGAACTTTGGAAAATGTCTTCTGTTAGGAGGACAGGAAGAGAAAGGGGCGGTGATGGTCAAAAAGCTAGTAGAAAACTAGGAATGTGTTAGAGATCTTAAGGGAAGCACTGATTTTATGAAAGATAAGTAGAGAGAGTAGGATTATGAATAGTGTTCCGGACTAGAAGTGATCAAGGGAAAAGAAAATGGGAGTAAGACCATTAAACTTGGCAACAGAGTAATCTATCACGTGTTGAAAGTATAGATTTGTTGAAAGTATAGATTTGGAGTGTTGGTGTGGGAGCCAAACCAAGCTTGGTAAAGTTTTAGTGTAGAGGGGCAGGTACTCCATGAAGGAAGAGGTCAGAAGAGCTATCCAAGAAATCAACATTCTCTCAAAGATGCTATTTATTTGTATTTACAAAATCATTCCCTACTGTCAGCTTACCTACCTTCTTGGATACATATTAGAGGTAGAAGCCCTTAATATCTAAGGAAATTATATTCTGAGACAACCAATCTGAAAGACTCATTATCATCTGCTATATAAAATACTAAAGTTGATGTACACTGCTCTGTTTTAGAAACACTTGATCCACTGAAGATTGTTTGGGGAGGTCACTTCAGTATTCTTCTGAGATTATTTCTCCTTTCAAAATAGGGGAAAATATCTCTTATGTCCCCAGGGTTTTAGTTCACAATACTTTAGTGGAGATATTTTGTTTTTAAAATTTTATGTTTTTTGTAGAGATGGGGTTTTACCATGTTGCCCAGGCTGGTCTCAAGTAGTCCTCCCACTTTGGCCTCCCAAAGTGCTGGGGTTACAGGCATGAACTACTGTGCCTGGCCACATTTTTTTCTTTTTCTTTTTTTTTGAGATGGAGTCTCGCTCTGTCGCCAGGTTGGAGTGCAGTGGCGTGAGCTAGGCTCACTGCAACCTCCACCTCTTGGGTTCAAGCGATTCTCCTGCCTCAGCCTCCTGAGTAGCTGGGACTACAGGTGCACGCTACCATGCCTAGCTAATTTTTGTATTTTTAGTAGAGACAGGGTTTCACCATGTTGGCCAGGATGGTCTTGATCTCTTGACCTCAAGATCTGCCCGCCTCAGCCTCCCAAAGTGCTGGGATTACAGGCGTGAGTCATTGTACCTGGCCCGTTTTTTTTTCTTAATGATACTTCATCCTGCTCTCCCCAGAGATCCTTGTGCTCATGTTTGCACTTCTTTGCTATTCTTTCTTGTCAGTGGATTTCTAATAAAATCTAAGGCTAGTTGACTTGACTGAAATGTTTTATATTGAAGGAAAAAAATTTCCTGTGTATTGCACTGTCGAAAACATGGTCATATGTTCTTGGACTCAATTCCCTTACTTTTAGCTACTATCTATGTGAATTTTCAGATTAGAATTGGTTTATAGATTGCATGTATTAAGTTTCTTCTTTTCAAATAAATTGATTTTTTTGTCTCTATACAGTAATGTTTATGGCTTTGTCTCAGCTATTAATTGTTCTTTATGTACTTTTCTTTCTTTAAATTACTTTTTGTATTTTTCCTGTATGTCTTTGGGTCATCTTACTAATTTAGGTCTTCTGCTGTATTTAGTTTGGAGGAGTCAACTTTAAGATCTTTCCAAGAAGAACATTTTCTGATGTCTTATTAAAAATGAGCCCAATGAGCTATTTTAGAAAAGAAAAGCTTTTATAGTTTCCATGAAGAAAAGAAATGCATTTTGTTTTATTCGAAGGATAAAATTTATAAAACTGCCTGTTTTAAAGCCAATTTGCAAACATTTTTAGACTTGGAAAATGCTTGTAAGTCTTGAAAGGTATAACTTGCCAAATAGCTGATACTTTTGAAGTTTGGCCTTAGTTCTGGTAAAAGAATGTGGTTGACAGCCACACTACAATTTACAGTAATGCTTTTTATGTAAGGAAATTAATGTACTTGGCTTAATAAATTCCAGATGAGTTTCTTGCTCCTTGATTATTACCAAGTTATTTAAAATTCATGTTTCGTTATTCAGTTTAGTGTGGTTTCCTTTTTTTTTTTTTTTTCTGAGACAGAGTCTCACTTTGTCACCCAGACTGGAGTGCAGTGCCATGATCTCAGCTCACTGTGACTTCCGCCTCCAGGATTCAAGTGATTCTCCTGCCTCAGCCTCCCGAGTGGCTGGGACTACAGGCACGTGCCACCATGCCTGGCTAATTTTTGTATTTTTAGTAGAGACGGGGTTTCACTTTGTTGACCAGCCTGGTCTTGAACTCCTGACCTCAGGTGATCCACCTGCCTCAGCCGATCCACCTGTCTCAGCCTCCCAAAGTGCTGGGATTACAGGCGTGAGCCATCACTCCCAGCCTCGTTATTCAGTTTAGTTACAGCAACCATATCTGTACTTGTACTTCGTAGAACTGAAACACTTTTGGGGAAAATGGCTTTTTTGGTGGGTCATTTTGCGGTACAAGCTTATGATGTGGCCAGTGCCTCCACATTTGACCTTGTCTGGGACTAAAAGATGTCAAGCATCCTCTGCTTGTGGCTAGTCCAGGTCTTAAAGGAGATCAAGTTCAAGACCCTTATGGAAGTTCTGGCAGTGCCATAAAGGATAACTTTCTTGAAAGCCCACCTAAATATTTCTACTTACTTGTCATTGGTTACCCTATCTGTAAGGGAGTCTAAAAAAAGTTTTTAGCAGAGTGTGTCACTGCCTCCAACAATATGGGTCATCTATTACGAAGGAAGAAGAGATTGATAATGTTCAATTGTATCTGCCACATTTACTTTCTGACTGTTCCCTTTTCATAGTATTTTGCTTTTTTATGATTGCAATATATTGTTTTAGCTCCCTGAGGATATTATAATATTATAGTTTTTTTTTTCTTCCTGAATTGTCTCTGTTTCTTCCAAGTTCCTTTAATTTTCCCTTTTGGCTTCGGTCTCTTTTAAGTTGGAAACTTCTTTTAAACTTCTGGTAGATCCTTGTCCAACTGCTTTCTGGATTCTCAACCAATCTCTATATCTAGCCATGTTCCTTACTACCTTTCCCTACCCATAGGACCTGTTGCCCCTAGATGCTGAGAATTTTCCAAGGAAACTTGCATGCTTTGCTACTTAGTGTCCCTTTGCAGGTCTTGAAGTTTAAACTTCCTTCATTCTCTGCAGTCAGGTACCAGTCCTCCATCTACTTTCCATCTTCCAAAAGTTTGTGCAATGTTTTCTTCTACTGTTTTCTCTTTTCTGAGTCTCTTTGCTCTTGTGGGTTATTGACTTAAATTCATGCTGCCACTTTGGGAGGCAGTAAAGACAGAAATGCATAGCCAGTTCATTGTGTTTAACCACAAGTTCAGTGTGTGTGTGTGTGTGTGTGTGTGTGTGTGTGTGTGTGTGTGTATTTATTTTTAGGTGCACATCATAGAAGAGTAGAAAGCCATGGATTGATTGAAGGTTACAATTATTGCCAATGCAGAATTTCACACAAGTAAAATGCTGCTTTATTAAACTTAAAAAAACCTCACTTTATTATAAAATTGAATTGAGAGGGCTTATATAAATCATAAATCCACAGAGTGTAATGAGTCAAAACTGAAATCATGAATTGAAGGGATAGGGAATGTAGGACAAGCAGAACATGAACATAAGAAAGATAAACTAAACCACAGATGGATTCAAATTCCTGCCATATGTTCCAGTATCTGTACAAGTAGTCATGATAAACTTAGTCTTTCTAGAAGTCAACTCGGGGACAGAATCATGGCCTCATCCATGCCCTTTACAGCCCAGCTTTTCCCTACACTCTTTCATTCACCTCGGGACAGAGTATAGAAGGAAATGATCAATGCCCAGTATGTAATAGATATTCAGTAAAATTATTTTTCTTAAACTTCTGAAGAAAACTTGCCCCTTCAAGGAAAAAAAAGAAAGTTAACATACTTGCATACATTGAATATCTAAGTTCCAGTCACTTCAAGCAACTGTGTCCTGCAAATAAGAAAACTGAAGATGAAATGGCTGAGGTAAATTGCTCAAGGCAGAGGAAGCCTGAAACCCAAACCCTAGATTCAGTCCTGGTGTGCTTTCTGTGACATGATAATTGCTTCCAATGATGTCCATTCTGTGAATGTTACTAAAGGAGAATAACAGTTTTGTGCCACTTCACTTGTAATTAGTTGTCTGTCTTTGCTACAAGCTTTTGAAGGGAGGTGCCAAACCATACAGCACCAAGACAGTGCCTGGAGCCTTGATGATAGCCCAGTAGAAATTTCTAAAAGGAAAAAATGTTGAATGAATTCAGTGCTTTGTGCATAATACTGGTATTATAAATTATTATTTATTGAGATCTGAGACAGTGACTTGGACCTGTAGCTTCTGGAGGGAAGAAATGCTGAGTAAGAGATGGAAAGCCATCAGTACAACTGGTAGCAGTCTGTAGTGGCTCAGGTATTTTGCAGTTAAAAGGAATACATTACAGGTCTATAATGACAGAGTCCAGTAAATTGTTTTCTGTTATCCTAGTGAACTTACACTTGCAATTCTGGTACCATAAGTCAACAGATAATTCACAACTTGCCATCATGAATATTAGAGATGTTTTTATATTTCTCAAATATAAACTTAGGTAAGTTTGTACCTGAAAGCTAGCAAATAAGTTAGCAAATGTATAATTTCATTGTGTGCTTTTCTTTGTTTTTGCAACCATAGTGGATCTCTTGATAAAGAGTGTAATTAAATCACAAGGTAACACTAAATCTAGGTTTTATTTCATATAAAAAAGTACCTTTCTCACTCTCATCATGACTACACTATCTTCTACCCTTTCCCCAAATAAGAAATTTGGAATGTATATTAAAATTTCTAGCAGGAAACAGCTCACAAATGACATGAAGAGACTTTAAAGAAGGGGAGAGCTTACAAATCTGTAGGAGACTCTACAAAGAATTCAAGGCACAGAAGGTAGCAACAGTAGGAAGACATCTTCCTGAATGGCCAAAAAGGTTTGAGAAAGAAATACTGTTGCTGAAGCCAGAAAAACAAATCTGGGGCTAAGGAGGAGGATAATCAGATGGAATTTTAGTTTATGAGATTTCTTGAGAGACAGTGAGAGAGAAAGGGGAAGAATTAGCCTGATCTCTCGTTCCTTTTTCTCGTTTTCAGCTGACACGTCCCACTGGTCAAATCCAATTGGAAGCCACTGGCCAAATAGCCAAGACGATAGAGCCTCTAGGTTGCAGCCTCCCTTGGCACAGGAAGGGAGGTTATTGGATCTGGTAGAAGCCAGATAATAGATGGGGCTGTGGCGTGTGGGGGGTTAGAGATGGGGCAAACAAAACAACCAGCATAGAATACATTTTCCTCTGCATCTCTCTTTCCCTGTGGCCTGTCATTAGGTCTGGACTGAGAATTTTCCTAGCAGGATTTTCTTTGTGATTTTCCTTACTTAACATTATTACATATTCAAGTCTCATTACCTAGGATCTTGGTCTATCGTTTTTTCTCCTCTTCATCTTCTATCTCAAAATCTCCAATACATGTTTACTTATACTTATTTTTCAAATATTTTCCTTCCATCCCTTTTTACACAATACAACTACTTTTTCTTTTCTCTTCTCTCTTTTTTTTTTTTTGACAAAATCTTCGCTCTTGTTGCCCAGGCTGGAGTGCAGTGGTACGATCTCGGCTCACTGCAACCTCTGCCTCCCGGGTTCCTCGATTCTCCTGCCTCAGCCTCCTGAATATCTGGGATTACAGGCACCTGTCACCACGCCCGGCTAATTTTTGTATTTTTAGTAGAGACGGGGTTTCACCATGTTGGCCAGGCTGGTCTCGAACTCCTGACCTTAGGTGATCCGCCTGCTTTGGCCTCCCAAAGTGCTGGGATTACAGGCGTGAGCCACTGTGCCTGGCCAATAATACATCTTCTGCATCCTTGCATATCTGCAAGTTTCTATCATCTGAGAGGTGAGTAGTTTCTTATCTAGCTATAGAAGTTTCAGATTGCGGAGCTTGTCCCTCTGAAGCGTGTAGAGTTTTTCCACAGTCTTCTCATTTCCAGCATTGTAGATGAAAAGCCTGTTGTAAACTGTTACAAGCTTATTTGGAAGCTTGTTGTATATTTTAAAAATATTTTTCTTCAACACAAAATGTCAGGTTTTATCTGACTCAGTGATATTTATTCTATTTGATTGTCATCTCAGATATTTTTGCAACTTCTTTTGTTTGCATTTAGATTTTCTACAGATCTTTGCAGAGTCTTTCCATGATTTCTATCTCTTTGTAAAAGTATTGCTCTGTAGTTGATATTTCTTTGAGGTCTCTAATGTTGGTAGTGCTGATGCTTCAATTTATCTGCTGAATATTTTTGTTCATGGATTTTATATATATATATATATATATATATATATATATATATATATATATATATATATTTGTTTTAAAAAGGTCTTTAAAAAAATATTTACTTGAATTTCCTGAAGTGCTTGTTGTTTCTTCAAGTTGTCACCTGTGTCTTCCAGGAGCTCAAATTCATTAGGATTTGGGAAGATTTTTCTTGTTTGTTCTTTCTTTGGCTGCTGGGCCCCCTGAGGTGTGTGGTTAATCTATCCCTGTGTTGTCATTGCAGCTCAGGTCCCATTTCTGGGCTGCCTTGTGTAATGGCAGCACAGTGGTTTCTATCCATGTGGCAGGCAGTGAATCTGCAGCAAGTCCTTGTCCCATCTTGAGACACCAGCAGGAGATGTCTCTGCTCCTAGGTTCCTTTGTTTTTCTGCCTTCAGGAAAACATCTCTACCTCCTCTCATCCTGGAAGCCATGGCAACTGTTGTGGTTATTCCCTTTGGGATCCAGGTCTATCTGTGGATCACTTTGTCCTGTAAACTGCGGGCAAAGCCTTACTGTGGGGCTCTTCCACTCTTCGTCTTCCAGTTCTCCCATGCTGAAGCTAAGATAGTCCTGCAGCAGCTCTCTTGCCCACTCTCTGGGGGCCAAATACTTTGCCTGGAACTGTGGGTCCAGGGGAGGTGTTTGGTTTGGATTTGAAGTTGGGAGAGGAAAGAAGATTGCATTTAATATGCTACCACTTATTATTATGCTTAAAAATGCTTTAGGCTTTCTGTAGATGCACTATTAATATTATCGTATTTTTGCCCTTCTACCCAGCAATTCAGATTGGTAATTCACTTTTGAAATATGTTTTTTAAAATTTGAATTCAAAATTTTCCATCATTTAAAATTGTTTCTACATTTAAAAACCTTGACTGTAACATTTTCTCTTAAGTTATGACTTGGGAATAAATGTGTGCCTATTTAGTATGCTAAAGGGTTGTCATAGTTATGGTTTCTGGGGTGCCATGTTTAGCTTGCGGTTAGTAGACTACAGAAGGTTTATAGTTAGTGCCAGTGGAGAGAGATCCTAGCCAACAAGTTTCATGTGGATGTGGAGTGTGTGGCTCTTGGAAAGGTTACATCAATTCAGTTGGCTATGTAAAAGCTCAGCTCAGGACTGGCATACAGTCATTCTCCCTGAGGACCCCACCCTGTGAAGAAGATTAGACTTCTGGAGCCTCCTTTTCCCTTCCCTTGTTGAGTCATCAGGCCTAGGGTGAGCCAGGCTTACTCTTTAATATTACACTGCTCTGTGTCCCCACAAAAAGATATGTTGAAACCCTAGCCCCCGGTACCGCAGAATGTTTCTTATTTGGAAATAGAGTCCTTACAGTGGTAATCAAGTTAAACGAGATTGTTAGGGTCGGCCAAATCCAGTGTGATTGGTATCTTTATAAAAAGGGTAGATTTGGATACAGAGGCAGACATGCACAGAGGGATGAAGGCCGTGGGAAGATGGAGAATTGGAGTGATGCTTCTACAAGGCAAGGATGCCAAAGACTGCCAGCAAACCACCAGCCTGTGGGAACAGAGAGGCAAGGATCTGTTCCCTGTGGGTTTCAAAGATAGCATGGCCATGCTGACACCTTGATTTCAGACTTCTAGACTTCAGAACTGTGAAATAATAAATTTCTGTTGTTCGAAGTCACTGAGTTGTGGTACTTTATTACAGCAGCCCTAGGACATACCAGCAAACACTCATCATCACTGATATCCTTTTTGGGAAGTTTTGCCAATTCCATGGGTGCAAAGTATCTCATGCATATGTGTGTGTGTATACATGTGTGTTTTGGTGACACCAGCAGTCAATTTAATGAGCCAGCAAAGGAACACCTGAAGCATAGTTATGAAACTCCTGAACTACTTTGAACAAAACGAGAACTCTCAGATAATATGATCCAGATCCCTGCCAAGTAGAAGAGAGAATGAATATGAACCCACCCAGTGAATCAGATGCTCTTTGAGTGACACAGTATTCCTCAAGGACCAACTTATGGTTTTTAAATTTGCATTTAATACTGCTGGGTTTTCCTTTCAGTGAATGTCCTTCTCATATCCTTTTGCCATTGGTTACTAGATTTCTTATTAACATGTAGAAGGTTTTTGTGTATATTTTATATATAATTCCTTGTTATATTTAGATGTTCCAAATATCTTCTCTAAGGCCCTCACCTATTTATTACTTTTGTTCTATAGGATTCTTTCTTGAACAGATTCTTTGCTTTGATGTCACAGTCAGGCATTCTTGTTTTATGGTTAAGAATTTTGTGGATCCTTAAAACAAAGATATTCTTCTATATATCCTTCTGATGCCTTTGTAATTTTATATTCACATTTGGGTAGCCAGTTAATTTGGATTTTATGTTTGTGTGAGGTATGAGAAAGTGGCCAACCTTTCCCAGCACCGTTTTGGCTTTTTTTTTTTCCCCTTCAGTTTTCCTAGCACCATATATTGAATAATCTATTCCTTCCGTCCTTGCTGCTTCCTTAAAAATATGTCAAGGTCCTTATACACACTCATCTCTTTTTGAGTTCTCTCTAACTCGTTTTTCTCCTGCTGTACCAGTATCACTATTTTTTATTGGCTTTGAGGTGTGTCAGATAGGTAGTGTATCTTCAGTTTTTCAAAATTGATTTAGCTATTATAAATTTGTATTTTTCCATACAAGCTTTAGAATTAATTTTTTTTCAAATAATCCAGCTAGTATTTGATTAAAATTTGTTGAAATTTTAGATCAGTTTGGGGAGAATCAACATCTTTACAATGTTTTAGCCCATCTGTGAATAGAGCATATTTCTTTATTTTCCAATTCTTCTTTAATATTCCTTTAATATATTTTAAAAAATTATGACTAAAGTTCTTATTTATCATATTAAATCTAGGAACTTCATAGTTTTTGCTACAGCTCTGAATGGTATCTTATTCAACTATATCTTATTTTTATTTTTATTTTTGAGATGGAATCTCGCTCTGTCGCCCAGGCTGGAGTGCAGTGGCGCGATCTCGGCTCACTGCAAGCTGCGCCTCCTGACCTCACACCATTCTCCTGCCTCAGCCTCCCGAGTAGCTGGGACTACAGGCGCCCACCACCACGCCCAGCTAATTTTTTTTTTTTGTATTTTTAGTAGAGACGGGGTTTCACTGTGTTAGCCAGGATGGTTTTAATCTCCTGACCTCATGATCCTCCTGCCTCAGCCTCCCAAAGTGCTGGGACTACAGGTGTGAGCCACCACACCCAGCTTTCAGCTATATCTTCTAATTGGTTAGTGTAGAAAAATGCTATTGAGAAGTTTTTCTATTCAGGAACTCAACTCTTATTAATTCTTAAAGAGTTGATTTTTCTTCTCTCTAGATGATCAAATCATCTCTAAATAATCAGAGTTTTATCTCTTTCCTTCCACTCATTATTTTTCTCTTATTACCTTGGTCAGCATCTTTAGCATTATGTGGTATCTTTGACTTTTTTCTATCTTAATAGTAATGGGTCAAAAATTTCTCTTTTCTACTTTTCTACTCTATGCTATAACTTTGATATATGTCTTTAACAAATCAATTTATAGGCACTTTCTTTTATTCCATGTTTTGAGAATATTCATTACAATCGAATATTGAACTATATCACATGAATTTTTGGCATTTACTAAAAGTGTGTGAGTTTTCACCCCAATCCATTAATGTGGTGAAATACAGTGGCAGATGTTATCATATTAAGCTACTCTTGTGTATTAGTCTATTTTCATGCTGCTGATAAAAACATACCCGAGACTGGGAAGAAAAAGAGGTTTAATTGGACTTACAGTTCCACATGGCTGGAGAGGCCTCAGAATCATGGCGGGAGGTGAAAGGCACTTCTTACGTGGATGGCAGTGGCAAGAGAAAATGAGGAAGAAGCAAAAGTGGAAACCCCTGATAAATCCATCATATCTCGTGAGACTTATTCACTATGACAAGAATAGCACGGGAAAGACCGGCCCACATGATTCAATTACCTCCCCCTGGGTCCCTCCCACAACACATGGGAATTCTGGGAGATAACAATTCAAGTTGAGATTTGATGGGGACACAGGCAAACCATATCACCTGCTTTCTTGGAATAAAAAAAGCAATTTCTGTGATTATGAATTTTAAAAATACTTTATTAACTTCTGTTATTTGGTATTTTATCTAAGACTTTTTCTCTTTTATATTCTTAAGTGAATTGTCCCTGCATTTTGTCCTTGGGCCTTGGTTAGATCTGGAATCAAGATTTTATTATCCTCATTAAATGAACTGTGTTGCCTTCTCTCTTATTCTGTCATGTGTAAAAATATTTTAGTCTGGGACATATTTCAGGGGAGTACAGATCAAAACTCCATTCCTTTCTGCATTTATGTTGGCATTTCATATGATTCTAAAAGTCCATTCTAGTTAGATTCTCAAATTTTAGTTAATAGTTCATAATGTTCTTGTAAAACAACTCGGAGTATTCATTTAGAAGATGTTTATTGAACACTTCCTATGTTCTAGACGATGTAGGGGCTAGGGAAATAGCAGCAATCAAATAGAGAAAAGTCTGTGGCCTTGTGAGACTTACTTGCATTTTAGCAAGAGGGATTAAAAAAGTACACCTTAGCTGACATTGTATTAGATCTTTGTTTATTGCCCCATTTTACTCTGTATTTATCTTACTGTAGCTTATCCTTTAAAAAAATTTAAAATTTTCACAAAATTCCTATCCAGGGGTATATTTATCTAAGTGATCATTTCAAAGAACCAATTTTGGATTAATTTGCCTTTTTTTGATATGTTTGCAGGGAATGGCATCTCCATTCCATCATTTATGCCCTTCTCTTTAAATCCTCCTTCTTGTTTCTTGGTTTTCACACTTGCATTTTCCAACTTCTTGATTGGCTGGCTGATGGGGTGCAGTGCTTCTTCTTCAGTGTACAGTGTTACTATACCAGGAGAGCTCACTGCATCTTGCTTTTCTCTCTTCACGGGGTCTTTGTTATTTCTGCTTTCTTTCAGATTCTTCTGCTTACCAGAGGCTTGGGGCTTCATGGTCTCAGGAGGTTGTAGAGTAGGCCATCTACTGTGCTGTCTATGAGTAGAAGGACCTTGGTTCCTAAATATTACTCCATGAGTTTGTCATGTTTTCCGTTTTTAGAAACCCGGTCCCTTGAGTCTTTGAGGTTTTGTTTCTGAGCCCCTTCCTGAGCAGTAGGAGAAGAGGTGCCTCATTCCTTGTCATGAGTTTCAGGTAGGGGGTAGGGTTGACTGATAACAGATACTTTGGCAACAGAATTTAGAACGTAGGTAGGAGAGTATAGACTTGGTTAAATGATGCAAGACCACAGACATTTTGGCAAATGTGTATTTTCACATTTAATCTTCTCACTGTTCATTTTAGATTACTTATGCTAAGAAGTTTTAATAATTATCTCCAGCAGTAATTCTTCCTTCTACATATTATCTTACTACTTTCTTTGGACCTCTGTTGTATATATTTATCTCCTTTAAAATAGTGATGTTTGCATAACTTTGTCTCCCATCCTAATGAGAACACTGAAAGGGCTGAGACTGGGTTTTCATCTTTGTGTTTTCCATCGTACTGTGTATATATAGTAGATGCCAAAGGAAAGTTGAGATGTATTAAATGAAATATTGTCAAGCCCTACTTTTAGACAGAGAGAGTAGTTTCTTGATATTAGAAAGCCAAGAATAAAATTCACATCTATGAAAATGCTTTGTAGACTGCTTTATGTGACCATGAGCAAGTTACAGAACTTCTCTGTGCTTTAGCTTTCTTTTTGCAAAGTGGCAGTAAAACCTGCTTCAGGGGGTTCAGAGGATGAAAGGAGGAAAGTAAGAAGCTGTTTCAATTGGAGCAATGAGGGAATATGGTCAGATGTGGACACCAGAAGTAAGGAAAAGGGCCAGATTCCAGAAAAAGTAGATAAGTCACCAGGCATGAGTTCCAGCCACTGCCACCTGTTTCCAGTTCCCGTTCCTCATGTCTTAGGCTGAGCACACAGGAGGCGTGGAAAATGTCCCCTGCGCCAGTACTGTGACATTTGGAGTGCATCTGCACTGGAAGCAGGTGTTCTTGCCCCTCCCGTGCTTTATTTTTATGTTATTTGTATTTTGACAACTTTTTTGAGCTAGTTTGCATGCTGTAAAATCTTTCCTTCTTTATTAAAGATTCTTAACCATTCTCCCACATTATCATGATTATTTAGGGTTACTTTTTTACAGTGGACTGATACTTTCTTAAATGGTCTGCTTTTCTGTTGCTAGCAATGATAAATTATAAGTGTTTTGTATGTGGAATTTATAACCAGATTCTTATTTATTTGCCATTTTTAATTTTGTTTATAAAAGTCTTTTGTACTGTTAGGTAAAAAAGTGACAGTTTAACTGAGAAGCTACTCACCCTTAACTCATGACTCACCTTCAGTCATATGTTAAACTTTATGGATCAAGACTTATTTTCTGACAATAGAGCTTCTAATTTTGTTCATTATGTGATACTCAAAATTCTTAATGAAAGCTATGGATTCTTTTATTAAAAAATGAATATAAGCACACATTTTGCACATAATTTCAGTGGTTTCATGAATCCCATGAGTCTTGTTCAATGGAGCAAACACCTCTGGCTAGGGCGAATGTCATATCTTTTATACCTTGAAACAAAGTTTGTTTTTGTTTCTGAGACAGAATCTCACTCTGTCACCCAGGCTGGAGTGCAGTGGCATGATTTTGGCTGACTGCAGTTGTGACTTCCCAGAGTCAAGCGATCCTCCCACCTCAGCCTCCAGAGTAGCTGTGGCTACAGGCGTGTGCCCCCACACCTGGCTAATTTTTGTATTTTTTGCAGAGACGGGGTCTCACTCTGTTTCCTAGGCTGGTCTTGAATGCCTGAGCTCAAGCAATCTGCCTGCTTAGGCCTCCCAAAGTGTTGGGATTACAGGCGTGAGCCACTGCACCTGGCAAAACTAAGTTTTTTAATGTGCCAAAAGTTTTTCTGTGTGGTCCAACTTATGGAATTTTTAGAAGCTGATTATTTAACCAGGATTATAATTTTCAGCCACTTTTTTGCATCCTCATTTACCTTTACATTCTTGAAGTATTAGATTGTTTTTACAATTACCCTGTGAAGGTCAGTGAGGAGATAATGATTAACTGTGAAGGAGGACTGTGTGAGCAAAAATGTTAATGTAACTGGCCTGGGATTACATAACTCATGTTGGTGGTTTAGGTCTTATAAAGTACTTTCCTGTGTGTTTTCATCTGATTCTTTCAGAAACCCTCTCTGTTAGGAATGGCAGATGAAATTGTCATTTTACATATGAGGAAACGAAAGCCCACTTAAGGGACTTATATACAGCTTTCAAATGGTGGGGTTGAGGTGAGGGCCTCTAATTTTTAATCCCAATATTACTTATGGATTGAGTATATTTTCCCATGGGTCATTGTAGTTGCTAATTAAATGTATAAGTTTTTTTTTTTACTATAAATCTCTCTCTCTATAAAACTCTATATAAAACTTATGTATATATTCTTTTGGGTTGACTGTTTTTTAGACTTATTTTTATCTAGTCTTTTTTTCTTGAAATTCATTCCATTCTTTTCCCTGTGTGAGGATTTTTTTCTAATGCTCCTGTGATATTTTTTCTCTGCTTTCTAGAGGTGCCTCAGATTTTTTTAAAAATTTTTATATTCTGTAAATAGGGCTTTGGAATAGAGAAAGGTGAATGTAAGAAGTATGTCAGTGAATTCTTTTTTCTTTCTTTCTTTCTTTCTTTCTTTTTTTTTTTTTTTTGAGACGGAGCCTCGCTCTGTCGCCCAGGCTGGAGTGCAGTGGTGCGATGTCGGCTCACTGCAAGCTCTGCCTCCCGGGTTCACACCATTCTCCTGCATCAGCCTCCTGAGTAGCTGGGAGTACAGGCTCCCGCCACTACACCCGGCTAGTTTTTTGTATTTTCAGTAGAGACGGGGTTTCACAATGTTAGCCAGGATGGTCTCGATCTCATGACCTTGTGATCCACCCGCCTCGGCCTCCCAAAGTGCTGGGATTACAGGCGTGAGCCACTGCGCCTGGCCGTCAGTGAATTCTTAAGTATTGTTTTTAAATCTAAAATGCTTCCTTTTAATCAAGTTCATTAAGAGAATATAGGAATATGGCCACTTCTAAAGTTGGGCTTCTTTTTTTTAATTTTTAATTTTTTGGTTACATAATAGGTATATATGTATTTATGGGTAACACAAGATTTTTATACAGACATGTAATGTGTAATAATCACATCAGGGTAAATGAGGTATCCATCACTTCAAGCATTTATCCTTTGTGTTACGAACAATCCAATTATACTCTTTCAGTTATTTTAAAATGTATGGTTAAATTATTTTTTACCACAATCACCCTGTTATCCTAGCAAATACTAGGACTTATTCCTTCTTTTGATTTTTTTGTAACCATTAACCGTCCCCACTTCCCCGTCACCACTCCACTACTCTTCCCAGCCTCTGGTAACCATCCTTCTAATCTCTATCTCAATGAGTTCAATTGTTTTAATTTTTACCTCCCACAAATATTTATAAAAAATAAATATTAATTTATAAAAATAAACTTTTAGCTCCATGAGAACATGCAGTATTTGTCTTTCTGTGCCTGGCTTATTTCACTTAACATAATGATCTCCAGTTCCATCCATGTTGTTTCAAATGACAGTGTCTTGTTCTTTTTTATGGCTGAATAGTACTCCATTGTAAGTACCAATTTTTTTTATCTGTTCATCTGCTGATGGACACTTAGGTTGCTTCCAAATCTTGGCTATTGTGAATAGTGCTGTGCTAAATATGGGAGTGCAGATCTCTTTTCGATATCCTGATTTCCTTTCTTTTGTGTATATACCTAAGAGTGGGATTACTGGATCTTAAGGTAGCTAGCTCTGTTTTTAGTTTTTTGAGGAACCACCAAACTGTTCTCCATATTGGTTGTACTGATTTACATTTCCACCAACAGTGTATGAGGGTTCCCTTTTCTTCACATCCTGGCCAGCATTTGTTATTGCCTGTCTTTTGGATAAAAGCTCTTTTAACTGGTGTGAGATGATCTCTCCTTGTAGTTTTGTCTTGCGAGTTTGGCTTCTTACTTACTAGAACTACCAAGAAAAGTTTTCTAGTTCTTCAGTTGCACCTTAATATGCTTGAACTTCTAGAGATGTTATGTAGATTTTTATATTTATTGATTTCATAATCCCCATCCTTTATACATTCTCAATAGTATGAAATTAGTATGACATAATGTTTCTGTAGCACACTTGGTATGCCTCATTTATATAATTATTCCTAAGGAGCCTTAAAGGTGGTAAAAATGTGCTTTCTATTACCTAGTTAAAATTAGAATAGCAATATTGAGGGTCAGGTGTGTGTATATGTATATAGAATAAAATGTTTTTAGTACTGTTTATTTTTGAGAAAATTATACTGACTGTTTTATAGTTAGTTTTAAATTTGTTCTCTTGATGTTACCCTTGGGTAGAATATCCTATTAAATTTTGTTAGTAATTTTCTTAAATATTTAAATCTTTCAGAAAAATTTTGAAGTTTTTGGTGTAAATTTAGAACCAATTAAGTTCAGAACAAATCTGCTCTAATAGTTTATGCTTTCCTCTTCTTTTTTTAAAAAAGGGTTATTTTCTTTCTATAGTATACTTATTTTTTAAATATATTATGGATGTATTGAAGTACAGTAGTAATTTAGATATTTTTAAAAATTTTTATATGGGAAAAGAATAGATTTACTTTTGTATTCTTGTAAATTATTGAAGTTTTAATCTGAATGGATTAATTGACTTGATTATATTCTAATTCAGAGGAAATTTATGTCTCCCTAGTCTACATTTTTTTTTTTTGAGTCAAAGTCTCGTTCTTGTACCCCAGGCTGGAGTGCAATGGCGCGATCTCAGCTCACGGCAACCTCCGCCTCCTGGGTTCAAGCGACTCTCCTGCCTCAGCCTCCCAAGTAGCTGGGATTACAGGCATCTGCCACCATGCCCGGCTAATTTTTGTACTTTTAGTAGAGACAGGGTTTCACCATGTTGGCCAGGCCAGTCTCAAACTCCTGACCTCAGGTGATCTGGCCGCCTTGGCCTCCCAAAGTGCTGGGATTACAAGTGTGAGCCACCACGCCTGGCCTCCCTGGTCTACATTTTATATGTTCTATGGATGTTCAATGTTGGGGGCCAGAAACCAGAAGTGAATAAATATTACAAGTGTTGCTAGTTACTCAGCTAAGTGTATTTTCTATTTAAGATCCTATTTTCTAGGTTATGAAAAGAAATGTTAGAAGATATTCAGAAGAAAAATGATAAACATAAAGTATTAGGATACTCCTCCAAGTAACATTTGTCATAGAATATTCTAATGTTTTCTGACTGCACTTGGAGTCAGAGGAAACTTTTAAATTTTTTTTAACCTTATGTTTTTGGTTTTGTTATTTGTATTGATATAGACCATGCATGTAACAGCAAAATACTTTTTAAAAGTTAGCAATAAATTGGTTTAACCCATTTATGCCTAGTGTTCCATTATTGGAACGTTAAGCTTGTGGGAATTATTTACAGCCTACTGTTCAACGCATCAGTTGTGATTTTTCACAAAAGTATTTTGCAACCTCTGGCATAAATGGATTAATTTGGAAGTTGTATGTTACTTTGACTATTCTGTAACTAGTCTTTTTCTTGAAAGTGAAGTTCCCCAATGTCCTAATTCTTTGTTTCAGGATCTAGAAATAGTAGAAATCTTCCTAAAGTGTTCTCATTTCTGCTCTGTTCTAGAATGAGATATTTAGTGTATTTGGTGACCTATGGTGGTGTAGTGAGGGTTTTTGGTGCTGCATTGAGAACTTACTGTATTCCTAAGGCCATTCCAGGCTTCCCCTGAAATGATTCTCCCCTTGTCATATTTGTTCACTGTCCTAGACTGTATTATCAGCAAATACCTATAGATAATTCCACATAAACAAAAGCTCTTGGGGGCCTTCAACATTTTTTAAAAATATGAAAAGACCCTGAGATTCAAAAGTTTGAGAATTCTCTTGTAAAAAGTTTGGATTTTATCTTGAATGCAGTAGGAAGTCATTGAGTGACTTTTGCAAGAGCATGAGCTAATCAGTATTCTTAGAGAGCCCAGGTCATCCTCTGAAATGTGAGTTGCCCAGAAGCCAGCCAAACAGCTATTGCTGGAATTCAGGAGAGAAACGAGGGCTCAAGTTGCTACTTGTTGGGAGAGATGTGGTGGCTCAAATAGATCTAAAGGAGGTAGAATCAGTAGTCCTGGGAGGGTTTGAGTGTAAGAAAAAAAGTCTAGCTTACTCTTAGGTTTTTGATGTCTGAGGCCAGTAGCCAGTGATATTATAAATGGAGTGGACATTTTTTTTTCTTTGAGCAGTGGTTATGTGCCACTGTTTTCCAATTCCATTGTCTCTGATGAGAAGTAACTTGTAATTCAAATCAATGTACTCTGGTATGTAATGTGTCATTTTTCTCTCATTGCTTTTCAAGATTTTCTGGTTATACTTAGTTTTCAGTGGTATGACTGATTTCCAACATACCATTTTCTTTGCATTTATTCTGCTTGGTATTTGCTGGTCTTCTTGAATCTCTGAATGTGTTTTCCTCCATTGTGGAGGAAATTTTGGCTATTATTTTATCAAATATTATTTTCTGTCCTACTCTTTTTCTGGGTCACCAATTGTTATCCAGTAATGTTAGCTATTTTAATGTTTTCCCGTAGGTCCCTAAGGTTCACTTTTGTCAATCTCTTATCTTTCTGTTCATTAGATTGAATAATTTCTATTGATCTGTCTTCAGGGTCAATGACTTGCTTCTGGTCGTCTCTTCAGCTGTTAGTCTTATCTGGTGAAATTTTTCATTTTAGCCACTTTATTTTTCAGTTCTTGGGTTTGGTTCTTATTTTTTGTTCATTTTTTATGGTTTGTATTTCTCTGCTGAGATTTTCTTTCATTATTATCATGAGCATATTTTCCTTTCCATACCTAGATATTGGAATGATAGCTGCTTTGAAATGCTTGCTTGTTAATTAGGATCACTGGAACATCTTGGAGTCTCTCTTGATTGTCTTTTCTCCTGGGAAGTGGCCACTTTCTCCTGGTTCTTTTATGTCAAGCAATTTGGATTATATCCTGGACATTATAAATGATAAGTTGTGGAAACTCACAATTGTTATGTTTTGTCAAAAAGTGTTTTTTGTTTGTTTTGTTAAAACAGGCATTTAGGCTGGGCGCAGTGGCTCATGCCTGTAATCCCATCATGTTGGGAGGCAAGGTGGGCAGATTACTTGAGGCCAGGAGTTCGAGACCAGCCTGGCCAACATGGTGAAACCCTGTCTCTACTAAAAATACAAAAATGAGCTGGGCGTGGTGGTGCACGCCTGTAATTCTAGCTACTTGGGAGGCTGAGGCACAAGAATTGCTTGAACACTGGAGGTGCAGGCTGCAGTGAGCCAAGATTGCGCCACTACACCCCAGCCTGGGTGATAGAGTGAGACTCTGTCTCGAAAAAGAACCAAAAAACAAAAAACAAAACCAGGCAGTTAATTTACCTGGACTCAAACTGCAAATTCTGTTTTCTCTGTAGTGGTGGCAGTTTAAATCTCAGGTCAGGTCTTTTTGCCTTCACTGGTATGCTTGGAGTAAGCCTGCACCTGTGGTTCAGGGGCCATCTAGAAATTTGGGAGTTTTTATATTTTCTCTCTTTAGTTCTGGCTTGCCTGAAATTTCTGCCTTACTTTCCAGTGACTGTGGCTGTCCTGAACTCTGTCCTCTTATTTCTGAAGGCAGGTGAGACAGTGAGTTTTCCATGAGAATTTTAGCCACTTAACATGCACAGACCAGGGCCTGTCTTCAGGCAATACAAACTAGATGCTCATTTAGTGCAGTTCCTTCTTCCACATGTCAACTCACTTCCAGTAAATGCCTGCTTTCAGCTACTCTCCAGTACCCTCAGAAATTTTTTTTTTATACATTAGTCCCAAGTTTGTAGTTTTTATCTGTAGAAGGTTGGTCTAATGGGAGCTACTTGACCATCCCAGAAGTAGAATTGTGATATTGACTTGACATTATGAAGTGACAAAGAGAGATCATAGAAAAACAACTTGGCTATATCAGGGACAGGGAGCTAAGGGGGATGAATTTGATTTCGGTCATGTTGAATATTTTGTTAGCTAAGGTGGGGATACCACCAAGTGGTAGATTTTGAAGTAAGAATTGTAGAGGTGAGGTTTGTGCTGACGTTAGAGGTTTCAGACTGCTAAGCGGGCAGATGATGCCTGAGATCATGAGAGTAGATGAGCAAGGAGGAATATTTTGACTGAGAGGATTGGCCTGAATTTATAACCCTGAGGAACAGTCATGTCTAAGAGGTCAGCACAGCAAGGGAAACCCAGGAAAAAGATTCCAAAGTAAGTGCAGTAACCAGTAAGAAAAAATTGTTACCAAAACCAAAGTAAGTGGTCAGTGGTTCTTAAGCTGGAATCTATTGACCTGATTTTTCCAGGATTATGTTTCAGAGAGTTTCTGAACCCTCTGCATTGTGAGTGTGTGTGTAAGAGAGATTTCTGGGGAGAAGTCTCATAGCATTCATCGTACTTCCAGAAAACGTTGTGACCTACAAATAGTTAAATATTAAAATAGTATCAAACTAACAGTTCAGAAAAGTGACCCCCCCGCCGCCCCGCCAAATCTGTATGTTATCCGCAAATTAGGATTCCCTAGTGGCCTAGAGCAATCTCAGAGTGAAGGTGGAAGACAAGCTGGAGTTCACTGAGAAGTAAATCGGAGATGCGAAGGTATGAGAGTATAGAATTCTCTTTCAGGAAGTCTGGGTGATAAGGCAAGGAGAGATTGCATGATAGAGGGGAATAAAATGAAGTGAATAGCATAGCAATGCCCGCCTAGCCTCATCTGTTGCAGGCCACTTGATATACTATACCCTTTGTGCTTATGTACTGAGTTGTTTTAGTTGGTGAAAGCTGCTCTGTTGTAAATTCTAGAGGCTCTGTGGGCTGGCATGCATGCATTCATAGCTTTTGATTGCAAGAGGTTATGAGCTCCATGAGAATAGGGACTTATTTTTCCCTTTATTTTTGGTTTTATTTCCCTATAGCAGCTTTTATTGTTACTCTGCACATTGTAAAGACTTAATGTGGCTCACTGGCAGAGGTTTCAGGATATGGGATAGGGACATGATCTGGTGGAAACTGTGGTCCCAGTGCCAAGGGTGTAGAGAACATCTCTGGTCCAAGGTTTCCCTTACAGCTATGCCTGCTTATTCTGAGGTCCCTGGAGGGTTTGCAAGTTGCTATAACCTTCCCAACACTTGCCTTTTATAGGCCCTTATAACAGAGAAAGGCCCTAAACTTTGTGCAGGAGTTGCAGGGAACTATGAAATACATACACCTCTCTCCTCCTCCCTGCCTTTTGGCCTCTTTGCTTAATAGGAGAGAACTTCGATTGTTGGGAAGATGCTAGGATGAATTAGTATGGGAATCAGAAAAGTATGCTGAAGTAGGGGAAGTTCAGATTTTATAGTTCCTGAACACATCCTCATGTCCTTAAAGTTGCAGAACATCTATTGTGGCTCATTCCTATTGCTTCTTTTATTTTCTGCCACTGAGAAGGAGTGTACAGGCATGTGTAACTAAATGATGGGGATACCCTTCTGCGAAATGTGTCATATAGGCTATTTTGTCATTGTGTAACATCGTAGAGTGTACTTACACAAACATAGATGGTGTAGCCTATCAAACACATAGGCTATATAGTGTAGCTTATTGCTCCTAGGCTACAAACCTGTGCTGCATGTTATTGTGTTGAATACTGTAGATAATTGTAACACAATGGTATTTGTGTATTTAAACATATCTAAACATAGAAAAGGTACAGTAGAAATATGGTATAAAAGATAAGAAATGCTACATTTGTATAGGGCACTCACCATGAATGGAGCTTGCAGGACCGGAAGTTGCTCTGGGTGAATCAATAAGTCAGTGGTGACTAAATGTAAAGGCCTAGGACATTACTGTACACTGCTGCAGAGTTTATAAACACTGTATACTTACACTATACTAAATTTATAAAAAATGATTTTTGTTGCTTCAATAAACTTGGCTCACTGTAACTTTTTTATTTTAATATCCAATTTTTTAAACTTTTTGACTCTTGTAATGACACTTAAAAACACATTGGCCAGCTGTACAAAAATATTTTCTTTCTCTATATTCTTATTCTATACCTTTTTTTTTTAATGTTTAAAACTTTTTTTTTTTTTTTTTACTATTTAAACTTTCTTGTTAAAAACCAAGACACAAACACCAGGATTAGCCTAGGTCTACCCAGGGTTAGGATCATCGATATCACTGTCTTCTACCTCCACGTCTTGTCCCACTGGAAGGCCCTCAGGGGCAATAGCACACATGAAGCTGTCGTCTCCTATGACACCAATGCCTTCTTCTGGAATACCTCCTGAGGGACTGGCCTGACACTGTTTTACAGTTAACCTTTTTTTTTTTTAATAAGTACATTCTAAAACTATGATAAACAGTATAGTAACATAACTATTATCATTATCAAATATTGTATCCTGTACATAACTGTTCATGCTATACATTTATACTACTGGCAGCATAGTAGGTTCATTTACACCAGAATCACCACAAACACATAATGCATTGCACTATGATAGTGTGATTGCTGCGATATCACTAGATAGAAGATGGGAAATTTTCAGCTCCCTTGTAGTCTCATGAGTCCACCATCATATTTGCAGTCAGTGGTTTTGACCAGAACATCTTTATCCGGCGTGTGATTACTTTTCTGTCTCCCAGTGTCCCCTTCTCTCCCAAGCCAGTTAACAAACCTTCCTGTTCCTTCTAGCCCTCATGAAGCTGCCATTTGTCACTCTGCTACTCATATCAGGTAATGGTAAAAATCCTTGATTAAAGATGAAATGAGAGCTAATTCTCCAACAACATTCACGTCTTACAATAGAAATTTGTTTAAAAAAATGAATCCATAGTTGGTTGAATTTATATTAAAGACATTTTGGATCCTGCCCTTCTCAGGTGCTTTGCCAAGGAGTAAAATATCTCAGGTCATCTCTGGAGCTCAAGTTCCATAGCCAGCCTGTTGCCTGTCTCCCCTTCTCTAAAGGCTCTGCATCATCCCGAGTTGTCACTGCTTGGTGAGAAAGTACAGGTCAACTGTGCATGGTAAATAAAAAAAATCTTCAGAGGGCTTCTGAAGTTTTGAATGCTTTGGATATTCTTCATATTTCATACATTGCTTAATTTTTAAAAATACAAATAGAAACACAATACAGTCGACCCTCAGCATGCCTGGAGGATTGGCATCAGGACTCCCTGCAGATACCAACATCCCTGGATGTTCAAGTTCCTTATATAAGATTGTTAAACCTGCAGATACAGAGAGCCGGCTGTATGCACACTCTTGTGTCCCTTGGTTTTGTTACTTGACAGTATAGCTTGACTGCCCTTATATATTGGCCCATAAAGTGCTTTGTTAAAAAAAGATTTTTTTTTTTTTTTTTTGAGATGGAGTTTTGCTCTTGTTGCCCAGGCTGGAGTGCAATGGCACAATCTCCACTCACCACAACCTCTGCCTCCCGGGTTCAAGCAATTCTTCTGCCTCAGCCTCCTGAGTAGCTGGGATTACAGGCATGTGCCACCATGCCTGGCTAAATTTGTATTTTTAGTAGAGACGGGGTTTCTTCATGTTGGCCAGGCTGGTCTCGAACTCCCTACCTCAGGTGATACAATTGCATTGTATTACATTGTATGGATGAATTAGAATTCATTTAACTTGTCCTCTTTTGCTATTTGCCCTTTTCCCTAATATTTGTAATTATAAGCAATGCTTTGGTTTGTAACACTGGGCACAGGTTGTTTTGCATGTGTGCGGTTCCAACAGTAGGGTAACTCCCAGCTGCTCAGTTGTTGCTTTGCCACTCTAGATGCTTGGCCAGTTTCTACTCCCATCAGCCTCACATGAAAAGTTCTGTTACCCCATTCTTGTTCTGTCCACCAAAGATGAAAATGATATCTCATACTTTTGATTTTATATTTATCTGATAAGTGGTTAATATGTCTAAATATAATTTGTGTCTTTTCTGTTAACTATGTTCTCTTCCCTTCTTTTGTAGGAGCTCTTTCCTTATAGAAATTGGCTCTTTGCCTAATAGGTGACTTGATATGTGTGTGTGTGTCAGTTTGTGTTTTGTTTTCTATGAAAAACTTAAAAACTTTTTATCTAGTTGAGTTTATTTTTTCTTTTATGATTTCTGGGTTTTGTATTACAAAAATTTTTCTCATTCCTAGAGTACAAAAATTATCCTAGTTTCTTTAGGTTATTTTGTGGATTCACATGCTTTAAAATCATCCATCTATCTGGAATAATTTAAGTGTGAGGCATGAGCAACGGGTCTATTTTAACTGTTGAGAAGTCTTAGGATTTGTCTTGATAGACAACCACCCAGGTGAATTCACCTTTTTTTTCATGATCTACTGGGCAGATACTACAAATCATCTACTTGATACTCTCATTGCTTTCCATCTGAACCTTGACATTTATGAGAATGTTAGTAAATCCAGATGAAAATATGTGTCTTCCCAGACACCCTTGCTGCTTGGGGTGGCCATGTGTCCCAGAGGACCACTGAGTGTATCTTCCAGGAGAGCTATTGCCTTGCCGGTAAAGAGGGACAGGCTGCTGGCATAACCCTTTAATCTTACCCTTTCTCTCTTTTCCTATTTGGATGAGGGTGTGAGGAGCAGATGTCCAACAGCTACCTTGCAACCCTGAGGCAACAAAGCATGCAGATAAAGGCCATTATACTGAGGATGGACCTGGGACCCTGAGGACATTTTGGGACTGGTCTTTAGCTGTGGATTTCTTGCTGCTTAGAACAAAATCATCTTCAAGCCACTTTTAACTAGGTTTTCAATTATTTTCTCACCTTATGTGTCCATAAAGGATGTACCATCTTTATTATATACTGTTTATACTGTAATTTAAAAAGTATTTTTTTCTGATTATGAAGGAAATAATGCTTATTGAGAAAAATCCAGAATTGGCTGAAAAGCATACAGAAAAATAATAGCCACTCATAATCTTGTAACTGTTACAACCAGTTTTGTATGTATGTTTTAAAGCTTTGACATCTTTTTCTGTGATCTCAGTTTATTTGCTATTATAGTTAGCTGTTTCTTAAATATACTGAAGGACTCACTGGTAAATCAAACTAACTGAGGAATTTAAATCATAGTTCTAGTTTCTTCTTTGGCTTTTAGTCATTTTAAACTTTCAACTGAATTTTTTCAGAAATAAAAACTTTCTCTCAAAGTGGTGTATTCATTATCAAGTCACAATTTCATAAATTTGAATACATGACTTAATGTCCATTTATTCCTTGGAATATTTGTTTGCAAATTTAAATAGAGAACAATAGAAGACAGTGACTTTAACAAAACTTACATTTGTACTCTTAAAGAAAACAATGCTTAAACACATCTGAAATGAACAATATTGTGGATCAGTGTTTCTAGCTTCCAAAAGTATATTGACTGACTCCAGTTTAGGAAACATTTATTCATCCTTAAAAATATCTTCCAGTTTGAATTAACATTGCAAAAGAATTGCTTTTGGCTTGATAACTTGTAAAAAGTTTAGTAGGATTATCATCAAATGAAAATACCATGTTAAAAAAAATTCCTAGCGTTTGTGAGCTGTCAAGAAAATTGCTGTGGATTGTGCTTTCAGAAACATTTCTATGGATGTTGTGAATTTTATAGAAAAATATAATTGAAGTAAAAACACTTGTGAAAAAAGTTCCAACTTCTGGCAGTAGAGGTCAGAATGCTCCCGTGTGTTGGGAAACTCAAAGCAGAAGGGGACATAAAATGGAAGAATGCAACTAAATGGAAGGACTGAATTTGTAGTTTTTATTCTTAATATTTTGACCTTTTCCAAATAGGACTTGAGAGTTTGGGAATACACAAAATTACAGTGGAATACAATGGTGTCTCAAATCATTTATGTTATCACTTGGGTATTAGCCTAGTTTTTGAAAGAGAAATCCTGCTCAAAGGAAATGAAAAAGTATTATTTGAACAATATTCTGGTTATAGTAATGGAATAGTGGTATCCAATCTTTAAAAAATAGAGACTTAATTGTAAAGAAAATACAAGTGATATCTTGTTGAAATTACTGGATTAAATCTGCCAGCAAATAGCTTGTAGTGAGCATATTGTTTCGGAGTCAGTTTCAGTTTCCTAGTCCTGTTATTTGTAATTTTAGCTTCAGGTTAAATTATAACAGAAGAATGTCACAATATATTTCTTTTTCTTTTCTTTTTTCTTTTTTTTTTTGAGATGAAATTTTGCTGTGTCGCCCAGGCTGGAGTGCAGTGGCATGATCTTCACTCATTGCAACCTCTGCCTCCCGGCTTCAAGCAGTTCTTCTACCTCAGCCTCCCGAGTAGGCATTACAGGCGCCTGCCACCATGCCTGTCTAATTTTTGTATTTTTAGTAGAGACGGGGTTTCACCATGTTGGCCAGGCTGGTCTCAAACTCCTGACCTCAAATGATCCACCCACCTCGACCTCCCAAAGTTTTGGGATTACAGGCATGAGCCACCGTGCCCGGCCTGTTACAACATATTTCTACCCTGTATTTCCTTTCAGTTATAAAATCTTTTGTAAACAAAGTTTAAGCTAGGTCTCATGATTATAAAATATTTTTATGAAATAATATTTACATAAACTTGTAGAAAATTGGGCTTCATTTTTTGATGCACATTTTTTTCTCCTCCTCTTAGCATTTTGTTTGTTTTGTTTTGTTCCAAGAAGAAACTAAGCACTCTTTAGGAAGCTGCTCTCTCTCCTGTGGTATTGGTGGAATTCTGAACCAACAAGACAAATCCTAAGACTTCTTTATTGCAGGCATGTGGGTGAACTTTCTGAGACAGAGCTCTGTATCTAAATGTTACCCAGTCATTCATTGTAAAATGCTTTTTTTGAACAAAGAATGAGAGTTACTTATTTAGTTGAAGGAGTTGGCCAGTGAGACATGATGCTTGTAAAACATAAAATTGAAGAACATTTTATAAATTGCCCCCTGGATGGAAAATGTCTCCTCCTTGTAAAACGCGTGCACGAGCGTGCACACACACACACACACACACACACACACGTCATATACACGATGCATCTTAGATGAAGCAAAGTCATAATTAAAATATGTGGGGAAATTTTGTAATTGTTCCCTAAAACTGCACGTTTGTAAAAGACTCTATGTGTTACTAATGAATATGTATATATGTGTATTTAGGATGTTAGATGTAGTCACATTGCTGTTGAAAGTATCCTTAGCATCCTGCCTGGAGCGTAGTAGATGTTCACTAAATGTTGGTTGAGTAGATGAATAAAATTATGCTGTTATTGCTCTACATAAGAGTTACTGCTCTTTTTCCACTTGCCAGTGGAAAAAGAAATTATGCTGTCAAGTATAACATATTAATTATTTAAGTATGTGCCTCTCTCCGGATTCAGTATTTGTCTGACTTAATCAATTAACAGTAACTGTTCTACTCATTAATCTCTATGATTGTTAATATAACTATAGATAACAAAAAAAGATTTTTCAAAGCTCGCCCTTCTATATCTAAGTTATATACGAGCACTCCAAGCCGGCTCCTTTACATTAATCTGAATAACTTGTAAGTGTCTTTGCAGGGAGGAATGAACCTTCTAAGCAATGTGGTAGGTAATGTAACACCGGGGTGGAGAGCAAGAATTTGTTAGGTGTTGATTCTGTTTTGAATTCTGTGAATGTCTCTCTCTTTGTATCAATCCACACCTGAAGATTAGTTTGTTCTCCTCTGAATAAGACGTTCATTATTTAATGCATTCCATAGCCACTACCAATTGAATGTGAAATTCAAACCTCGTTTCACTAGCTAACAAAGATGAGAAGGCATTGCATTATTAACAAAGCTTTTAGCCACTAAGAGGAGTGCTACGTAAATAAGTTGAGGATAACCCCCTCCCAACTATTTTTTAAACAAAAACAGTGATTCAGGGGTAGTATACGGTGGCAGTTCTTTGATGATTGCACATAAGGCATTCCTAGTGGGCTTTTTACCTATCGAATGTTCCAAATTGTAACTTGGAATTACAGCTTTACAGATTTAAGTCTGTAATTGAAAGCTTTTAATATAAAAGCTATGAAGTTTTACTTTTGGATCAGATCCTAGTAGTACAAATTTATTTTGAACAACTTTTCTTTTTTAAAAAAAGGCTTTTAAGACCTTATTTATGATATGGAATGAACCCAAGTATTTTTTCCCCTAGGATTTATTCTTCACAATTTTGTTTAACTCAGAGAGACAGAGCTGGCTGTGTATACATTAGCATTAGTAATGAATGGCATATTTGGGGTGATGGCCTGGATGCTGGACAGAGGAAAGGACCATGGACCATCCTCTACAAAAATCTACTCTAATACTTTTGACTAAGTGGAGTTTTATTTACTTTATGGTTTCTAAAATTGCAATTATTGTCTGGAAGAGCTAACCTTTGACATTTAATTCTTACTGATATCTATAAGTAGAATTTGAGTAAACTGAAGATCTGTCATATATTGCTGTTTATAAGCTATATCATATTTAGAAATTAATTTCTTCAACAGATATTTGAGTACCTACTGGCTAAAAAAGCCAGTGACTTTTCTACGTGTTTGGGATATTTTAGCGAAAATATCAGACAAATATATGGAATGACTAATACATGTGAAGTTACATAATCCAGCCAAATACATAATCCAGCCAAATTTCCTAAATTGGAAATGAGTGAAATTTAGGAAATAAGCTAGATTTCTTGTGCGTCCCAATAGAAGTCTTTGTATTTGTCCTGTAGCTTTTTTTTTTTTATTATACTTTAAGTTCTAGGGTACATGTGCACAATGTGCAGGTTTGTTACATATGTATACATGTGCCATGTTGGTGTGCTGCACCCATTAACTCGTCATTTAACATTAGGTATATCTCCTAATGCTATCCCTCCCCCCTCCCCCCACCCCACAACAGTCCCCGGTGTGTGATGTTCCCCTTCTTGTGTCCATGTGTTCTCATTGTTCAATTCCCACCTATGAGTGAGAACATGCAGTGTTTGGTTTTTTGTCCTTGCGATAGTTTGCTGAGAATGATGGTTTCCAGCTTCATCCATGTCCCTACAAATGACATGAACTCATCATTTTTTATGCCTGTATAGTATTCCATGGTGTATATGTGCCACATTTTCTTAATCCAGTCTATCATTGTTGGACATTTGGCTTGGTTCCAAGTCTTTGCTATTGTGAATAGTGCCACAATAAACATATGTGTGCATGTGTCTTTATAGCAGCATGATTTATAATCCTTTGGGTATATACCCAGTAATGGGATTGCTGGGTCAAATGATATTTCTAGTTCTAGATCCCTGAGGAATCGTCACACTGACTTCCACAATGGTTGAACTAGTTTACAGTCCCACCACCAGTGTGAAAGTGTTCTATTTCTCCATATCCTCTCCAGCACCTGTTGTTTCCTGACTTTTTAATGATCACCATTCTAACTGGTGTGAGACGGTATCTCATTGTGGTTTTGATTTGCATTTCTGTGATGGCCAGTGATGAGCATTTTTTCATGTGTCTTTTGGCTGCACAAATATCTTCTTTTGAGAAGTGTCTGTTCATATCCTTCGCCCTGTCCTATAGCTTTATTTTGGGGGAAAGTTTCCAAATGGGGCTCTGTGAGCAAAGCTCTCAGATGGTGATGGTGGCCCTTGAGAGATGGGGACAGGATTTACAGAGCAGGTGCCTTTTCTGGGATGCTCAGAATTTCTGCCTGCTTCTCCCTCACACCTCTTCGGTGAGACCAGCTCTCCTCCTCTCAGTGTACACATAGGAATCCAGCACAGTGTTTCTTTAAAAATAATGTTCTAGTCTAGGTTCCAAATGGAGTGATAAATGTCAGAAAATGATAAATAATTTTTTTTCTGTTTGAAATTTGCCATAAATACAAGCGTTTTAGATGTTCCATGATTAACGTTTGTTTTAAGAGTGATCTGTGTTCCTCTGAATTTAATTTCTTTCTTGTCTTTCCAGCTAGGTGAAACTGTTCATGACAGGAAGCAGATGATTATCTGAAATCCATAGCTCTCTTAGAATTGGAAGTTTGGAAAAGACCTTAGTATCTGGTTATTTGATCATGTTTGTTGTGCTCAGCGTCTCCAGTGATAAAGCCTTCTTTTCCTTTGTTCACAGCTACTTCTGTCTTTATCACATACTAGGTTCAGTCTTCCAGAGTCCAGAATTCATTGTTTTTTCCCCCCTTTCTTTTCATGACACAGAATATTTCATTCAGAACACATATATAGAGCACCTTGTATATAAGAAACATTGTACTTTAGTGACAGATTAAAATAGACTAGCTGCATGTGTTGCTCAGTTTTATAGATGCTTCCATGTTACAAATATTTACTGTCTTCTATATCACAGTGCTTTGCAAGGTTGCACCTATAATGATGACCCCAAAACTGCCATGTTTCATGTGTCTCACTCATCCAGAGGCAATAGGCTGAGAGCGGCAGTTCCAGAAGGTGCCTATACTTCTGTCTTCATAGCCAGAGTTGCTGAAACTTGGAAACGAGTAAGACTCAGATGAAAAAATGGCGGAAGGGTGTTTTAGCTTTTGCCATGATAATGCTGCATAACATTTTTGGACCACCTGCATCAGAATCATCTAAAATGCTTATTAAACTGCAGATTCCTGGCTCCTACCCTGGACACACTGACCTAAGAATGGAGGCAGAGGTGGGAATCTAAAGTATTAACAAATAGTCCTGATGACCTGTCACCCAGGCTAGGGTGCAGTGGTGTGATCACAGCTCACTGCAGCCTTGACCTCCTGGACTTAAGTGATCCTCCTGCCTCAACCCCCACCAGTTGCTGGGACTGTAGGCATGTGCCACCACATTCAGTTAATTTTTGTATTTTTTGTAGAAATGCAGTTTGCCATGTTTTCCAGGCTGATCTTGAATTCCTGGACCCAAGTGATCCGCCTGCCTTGGCCTCTCAAAGTGCTGGGATTACAGGTGTGAGCTACCACACCCTGCAGTCCTGGTGATTCTTTTTTAAAAAAATTTTTATTTTATTTTAAGTTCCAGGATACATGTGCAGAATGTGCAGGTTTGTTACATAGGTAAACGTGTGCCATGGTAGTTTGCTGCACCTATCAACTTATCACCTAAGTATTAAGCCCAGCATGCGTTAACTATTTTTCCTGACGATCTCCCTCCCACAGGCCCCAGTATGTGTTGTTCCCCTCCCTGTGTCCATGTGTTCTCATTGTTCAGCTCCCACTTGTAAGTGAGAACATGCGGTGTTCAGTTTTCTATTCCTGTGTTAGTTTGCTGAGGATAATGGCTTCCAGCTCTATCCATGTCCCTGCAAAGGGCATGATCTCGTTCCCTTTTGTGGTTGCACAGTATTCCATGGTGTATATGTACCACATTTTCTTTATCCAGTCTATCATTGATGGGCATTTGGGTTGATTCCATGTCTTTGCTATTGTAAACAGTGCTGCAGTGAACATATGTGTGCATGTATCCTTATAATAGAATGATTTATCCTCCTTAGGCTGTAGACCCAGTAATGGGATTGCTGGTGAAATCATATTTCTGGTTCTAAGTCTTTGAGTAATTGCCACACTGTCTTCCACAGTGGTTGAACTAATTTACATTCCTTCCAACAGTGTAAAAGCATTCCTATTTCTCCACAGCCTTGACAGCATCTGTTGTTTCTTGACTTTTTTTTTTTTAATTTTACTTTAAGTTCTGGGGTCCATGTGCAGAACGTGCAGTTTTATTACATAGGATACACGTGCTGTGGTGGTTTGCTGCACCCATCAACCCGTCACCTGTATTAGGTATTTCTCCTAATGCTATCCCTCCCCTATCCCCCAACCCCTTGACAGGCCCCAGTGTGTGATGTTCCCCTCCCTGTGTCCATGTGATCTCATTGTTCAACTCCCACTTATGAGTGAGAACATACGGTGTTAGGTTTTCTGT